>NT_187536.1:0-248252 GCF_000001405.40 Homo sapiens
TAATAAAGTAATAAAAGGAAATTCATAATGGGTAAAGAAAATCAAATGTATACAATAAAGATATAAAATATCAGTATCAGTCTTTTTATGGTAAAGAATGCCATGATTCTTAATTTCTGCATTTTACTAATTTGGTGACTGTCAAGTAGTTATCATCTAGCCAAAGGCTAATTTAATCATTTGGATCTGAATGTCCTCATGGTGATAACTATTTCAACACTGGCACATTTTTAGTTCTCTGCTCATAATTAATCTTATGCTGACCAGTTTTATATAATGTAAATCTATCTCTTGCTTCCAGTAATTGCATATCTAATGTACTGTGAAAAGAAGCCAATATTGCATCTGCTAAAGTAACTAAAAAGCAAAACTGTAAACATCATCAGCTAATGATTTTTATCACTTAGCTTTACTTTTTTTAACTTTTGGAACTTTGCAAATATAGTCACTTTTAGCCAAAACTTTGAATTACATCTTTAGTTTGGATGAGTAATTATGCTTTGGCATGAAAGAATATTTTATTTTATATACCAAGAGTTTCTTGTTGGTAGTTATGTAAAGAAAGCAATCCAATAACCACCACTGATAGAACACATTATACTTAAATAAAGCTGATTTTTTTTTTTTAGCTGAAGCCCAAGGGACAAATATGGAACAGTAGAAAATATTTTGAACAGTAGTGAAGTTGTAAAATATGCTTGAAGAAATGCTTACTGCATGATAGTTGTTTTTTCATTTAGTTGTAAAACACCCGCTTCATGGAAAATTATATTGAATATAATGCTGACTTCTGGTCATGTCAGCATAAGATGCAATAGGTTTGTTCAGTGAAATTAAGGGATCACTGACAAACCACAGGGACTCATGGACAGGTAAAACCCAGTTCATTAAAAAAAAAAAAAAAAAAACTTTAGCTTTGCATAACACTTTTAACTTTTCAGACAATTTTCATATCAACTCTTTTATTTGTCTTTCTTAACTCTGGTGGGTCATCAAGTATTAGAATTAAAAACAAACTCAGTTTCCTAAAAACTTGTCTCCCCACAAATTCTCAGTCATATAATATATGTTAAATTATGCTCATGACTAGGACTCTTTGGCATTAGTATCACCGCCCTCAAATTTGGGGCAAAATCAGGATCCATTTACTTCATAGCTACTGTGAAATGCGAAACTATGTTTTGTATTTATTTTCTGTACAATTTACAATCTAAATATAATTTAAATTTTTTTTAATTTTTTCTTTTTCTTTTTTCTCTGGCTATAACATCTCCTTCCTAATTTACATCCTTTGTTGATTTTTCAGCGTGACTACTTGATTTCCAGATCTTCCTATCACTCTAAGTTTGTTTTTTACTAAAGCATAATTGTTAATAAAAGATGGTTTCTCACCATATAGAAAAGCACATTTATTTGTTAAGGGTATTCTATCACTACATTTTCCTGCTAGAATACTTAGTCAAATTCTCAAGGTCCATGAGTAGTATCAATGACACTGACATCAAATATTTGTGTTCTTTCTTGGCTTAATACTCATGATTTCCTAAACTCAGAGCATCAATTTTCTTATCTTTTTGTGAAAACCTATAATTTTCCCATTCTTTCTTGATGAGAATACATGGTAGTGATTTTTGAAACCTAGGCAATCAAAAAGATACTTCTTTTACCTGCATGCTTTACCTGATTTATATGATATATCATGGACTTAGGACTGCAATAAATATTTTCCAGTGGTTAAGCAATAGTTTTCCCTAGTTTTCCCAACTATTGCTTAAATTTGAGTTAATAGCTCTGCTTAAGCACATTCTCGCATGTGTTGTTTTTTCTTACTTTATTATCTGGGAATAGGCTTTATAAAAATTTAAATGTCATGGAAAGTGCAAATTTCTGAAAGAATCCCAGTTTGAGATGGGATGTCAGACTTACCCGTTATGTACCTAATTTTTATGCCTAAAGTGAAACAAATAGATCTTAATTTCTGATATTATGTAAATGGCTCAGAAGGAATAGAGATTAAGATACCACACCAAATTCATCATCTTTCTATTTTAGGTGTTGGTAAGTAAAAAAAAAAAACAAAAAAAAAAAGGTATATTTTCTTAAATCATGGGAAGGCATTCATTCTACTGCTTGGTCAAGTTTTTGTTTTGATGTTTTATTTCTACATGAACCTCAGCCAAAATTTTTGTCACATGTCAGTAATTAGGGTTTTGCAAAGACATTTGGCAGTTTTCTCATGAAGTGTAAAGATAAACTTTTGAGGGAGGAATCAAAGTTATCACTTTAAAAATGAACTGTATTCCATTGCAACATATATCGCCTTCAGAATTATATTCTATTATTTTCTCATCAATAAGAAATATTATCCTATAGTCTCATGGCACAAGACAGGTAAGCCACAAACCTTAGATTTTTACAATATACTTCTTCTACTGCAACAAAAAATGGAACATATACAGGTAACATATATTATATAAATAGGTTTTAATGAATGTGAATAAGCTAAGTAGCATAAATCCTATATCTAAAAAGTAACATATAAAGAAACAATTTCAACTCTTTTTTCACATTTTCTTTTCCATACTTGAAGTACGAGTATAATGTGTTTTTATTAATTCAGATGAACTCATGCTTATACTTATCATACCTGTTGAGCAGACTCATTGAAACTTATAATAAAAATTCCCTAGTTGCAGATTATATTATTTAGAAGCATATTATCCATTAAAATATCCCCAACTATCAAAATATCAGATATTTCAATTTTTTAAATTAAAAACCTATACTAATATAATGGATGCTGAGTTATATATTTCATATATCTTTTAATAGAACTATACATTTATATTTAGGTGGACTGTTCTAGAGTGTCTCTTTCACAATAAAATCCCATGTATATTAAAGTATGTAAACAAACAATACTTGTTCACAATTTTAGTAATTACAGTCATAGCAATGTTTTAACATTTTACATCACTATTTTTAAATCTAAGTATCTTGATTTATTATAATAATTACTGACCTCATAGAAGGGCATGCTGTAACTTCTTAAGTATTTAGTTCCTATTATAACTTTACATTTCTCAGTGGAGACTCATAGTTTTACAATAGTTTTAGATAATTTTATTGGGACATATCATCTAAAGTAAATACATGCACTAGCCCAACTCCATAAAAGTTAAAACAGAGACAGAATTATTTATTTTCTTGGCATTAAAATAAGAACAATATTCAGAGTTTAGATTCTATTCTAATGTTGCTCCAATTAAAGTTACTATCAATGTTATAGATTATAAACATTTTAAATATTTTTTTAAGCTATTCTTTGTTTTATTCTAATGTATCATTTGAGAAAATAATTATAGTTCCTTGTAATACATTTCTTTATTTTATTTATTACATTGATGTGATAAATTTAAATAGCTATCTTACCATTATGAAATAGTACTGCAACACATTTTTCAGTTTCATTAAGGATTATTTAAAAATTTTAGCCATGCATCTGTCTACCCAATTTAAATAGGCTTATACAGGAAGGAAATCAGTCTATGTACAAGATTTCTTGCACAATAGATCTTGAATTATTTGTTCCTTGCTAAGGGTAAATCTCTCAAATAAACATTTTTCCCCTACTATCCATATCTCATTTAATAAACACATATTTATAAAACTACTTAAGATATCTTACTGTGGTATATAATATTTGTCCAGAATTTGGACAAGAACTTTAAATTGTTCCTGGTCATATATGTGACTATAGGATATAAGCGTAGGCATTACTTTGAGATAGTGGCCAGGAGTTTAATAGCTGTCTGCTTAGTGGGAAAGATATGCAACTAAATGCTCACGCTTTTCATTAGTTACTCTTGGCCCCTCCTTTGCTAAACTTCCTTTCTCATTTTAATGTATGCTGTTCTGCTTCTGCACCAACAGAGGACTCTATTTGTCGTTTGGTTAAATTCCAATTCTCCTGAAGCCTCCTGTTGGTAACATTAATTTCAAATTCAGTTAGTGGATTTCCTTTCTTAATGGCCAACTCCAATTGTGACATGTTGTTTATTTAATCTATCTGTCAACATAGAATGTTCAATGATAAATCACTGGGACGTTTCTAGCTTATGCACTGTCATGTCATATTCCAACTGGTTGGTTTCGAAACAGCAGGATATTGTTTTCTTCTTCATTTCTTGGGTGTGTATTATAAACTTTCCAGACAGTTCTGTCCTGGCCACTTACTGATTTGTGTCCACTAAAATGATTTGAATTTCCACATTTTGATAATTTGACTGTCACATTAGTTTTTAAGGTTTTTAACAGTTGGGTCCAGGTGCTCATTCCATTTTCACCATTAATTTCACCTTTGTTGAAAGCATTGCTGCATTTTTTTTGTTGTTGTTGTTTCTTTGTTGTAGCAATAAATAACTTCAGGACCAGGTGACAATGAATTCACTTGGGGCCAAAGTCAGGCCTGGTTACAAGCTCTGTGGGGAGACGTGCATTTATACATGGCTGGTTAAATTTTTACTTTAAAGTTTATTTTCAATGTCTTATTATTTATCAATGTATATCTTTAGAGCTTATAATTAATAAAGTTTACATTACATGTAATACATATACAATATGTCCCATTTTTTCTTTCCATACTCTATATCCTAGTGGCATCAAAATGACTTCAATGGTTTTTAAGACTTTTTACTTTGAGTTACTTTCAGAAATAAGTTATTTATTTAATTTAAAAGATCAAATGAATTCTAATGTACTACAAATAAAGCTATGATAGATGCATGGAATAATGAAAAGAGCTGACATACTTCAAACAACATTATTTATTGTCTTTCAGTGTGCACACTGATGCTCACTGTTTCACTCAAGTGTCATAACACTCACAGCAATAACATTTTAATTTTTTAACACTAGTTCATACCAAAGTACATTTATAAAAGTTGCTTTTTGCTTGATATATAATCCAAATGAATTTTCTTTGGCATCATACTATTAATTTGTTGAAATACTATCCGGTGTCCAGGACTTTGGTTTCTTTTTGTTTTTGTGTGTTTGTTTGTTTGTCTTCAAACAGCTTTTTTTTTTATCACGAAAAGGTTTCAAGTGAATAAATTATCTGACATTCAGTTTCTAAAAGTTAAATATTTTTCCATATCTTTTGAGCTGGTAAATAGCCTTCTTTAGAACGGGTGCAGTGGCTCATGCAGGTCATCCCAACACTTTGGGAAGCTGAGGCGGGTGGATCACGAGGTCAGGAGTTTGAGACCAGCTTGACCAACATGGAGAAACCCCATCTCTACTAAAAATACAAAAATTACCTGGGCATGGTGGTGTGTGCCTGTAATGCCAGCTATGCGGGAGGCTGGAGAAGGAGCATCGCTTGAACCCAGGAGGTGGAGGTTGCAGTGAGCCGAGATTGCACAACTGCACCCCAGCCTGGGCAACAGAGCGAGACTCATCTCAAAAAAAAACAAAAAAAAATTGCCTTCTTTAATTGGTGACAGTGTAAATTGTTGAAATTAAATTGAGAAAATTGTTTGGTTTCTATTTCTAGAAGATAAGTCTAGCTGTTCTTAAAAACTGTGAGGAAAAGTTTTGTTTTGACCCTACTTATGTCTTTATCACAAATATTCTTTTTTAAAAAAGAACAGAAACAACTTTCTGCTTATCCATATTATATCAATTTAGCAGTAGTCTGCAGCTGTAAGACAGGCAATTAGCAAGTCTTTCAGTATGTTCACAATTGTTTAAAAATTACACATTAGGCGTTTTCACAAACACTTCATTAGGCCATACATAATGCAGTTCACATATTATTTTCATTTAAAACGTAACCATAAGTATAAATGAACACACATACACACACACACACACATATATCCACAAAAGACAACCATAAGTATATATGTGTATAAATACGTATGTGGGGGCCAAGTGCAGTGGCTCATGCCTGTAATCCCAGCACTTTGGGAGGCTGAGGCAGATCGATCACGTGAGGTCAGAAGTCTGAGACCAGCGTGGCCAACATGGTGAAACCCCATCTATACTAAAAATACAAAAATTAGCCCGGTGTGGTGGCACATGATACCAGCTATTCCGGAGGCTGAAGCAGGAGAATTGTTGAACTTCAGTGCAGTGGGCTGAGATTGTGCCATCGCATTCCAACCTGGGTGACAGAGCAAGACTCCATCTCAAAAAAATAAATAAATAAAATAAAATAAAATAAAATAAGACTCACAAGTAGTAATTTACTATTTTACATGAATTGTGCTGGGTACTTTGTTATCTACTTCATTTGATCTTAAGCTATAATCAGTCTAACAATTTCTTTAGAAATTAAGATGTTATATTCTGCTTATTTTATGTGAAAAATATTTTGATTGATTATATTTGTAATGTTTGTTAAATTAACTTTTTATGGTATAAAATATTTGTAAAACTAGAATAAAATAAATACATTTAATTATTCTATTAAATTTAATTAAATTATCTGTTTAAAGATATGGAAGTTATGATTGACCAATATAGCAATGTTGCCCAGGACAGTTCAAATTTAAGTATTTATCCATCAGATTGTTTATAGGAATCAAAGTTTAATTACACAAATCACTCAAAACAAATATTTCAAAATTTGTTTGTCTTATAAAAGACAAATTCAAAGGTTGGACTGTAATTAAATGATAATGTATAATTTGTTTCTCAAATTTCATAAGTGCTGCACCATTCATACTATTTCATAATACATTACTATGTATTTTTAGCCTTTCTTCTATTTAATGTGAATATTTAATTATTTGTTTATCCTGAAATTACTGTTTGAGAGGATAGTATTTACGAGATGCAACATATATTATTAAAAAATATAATGAGTAGTACAAATAAGCTTGTAAATAATTAAATGTTTTGATTTTTTTTTGAAGGGAAAGACAGGATGCCATCACAGTCAACACATAGAGCTACTCACCTAAAGATTCAATGTAATGTGAAACATCAGACCGAGCCTCTAAAATATCTCTAACTCTATTTATAGTTGATCTCTTTCAGTAAATGTTTGAGTATATTTCTGACCAGTTGTTACTTTCTAAAGAGTAAATGTTTGAGTATATTTCTGACCAGTTGTTACTTTCTGGCTGTCAGTTCTCAAATAATACAAACTCCCTGGGCCTCTTGCCATAATCCTCATGGAAGTAGTGAAGGGAATGATAATATTGCAGAAAATAGAAGAGCAATGCAAAGATTCAAATAATGTCACAGCTGGAAAGAAAAATTATGTTTAGTGTTTGAGTTAGAAAGGCACTACTGAGAACCTGGATGTTATATTGGCTCACGTTGCCATAACAAAATGCCACAGGCTGGGTGGACTAAGCAACAGAAATTTATTTCCTCACAATTCTGGAAGCCAAAAGTCCAAGACCAAAGTGTCAATAGGCTTAGTTTATCCTGAGGCCTCTATTCTTGGCTTGCAGAAGGCCACCTGTCGCTGTAACAACCCCAACAACCAGCATAGCAGCAAACTGGGCATTTATAAGTACTGCTTAATAAAAGACTCAAGTTAAAATAGATAGCAAATAGCAAAAACATGCTATTCATATAATTGGTTCGCTTCTTCAGAAATAATTACCAAGTATCTTTTTAGTCAAATCAAGTGAGGACAAATGTGGGGCTCCCAAACCAATACCCATCCTCTGAGGGAGAGACAATCATTTTGGAGCCATTCTAAAGGAAATTGTTTCAAAATTTCTAGTAAACATGGGACCAAGCTGATACCCACTTAGCACATTTGTTCATGCTAAAAATAACTATGACTGATGAGTGAAAAGCACCCCAGCATCTGAATACAGGTGGTTTGACTGTAAATGACCCATACTTTGGCTACAAACTTAGATGTCCTCAAGTTTAATCCCATGCTTAGAAGAGTCACACCAGAAAAGAAATCTTCGATGATATTTTCTATACTTCAAGAGCTATTTTTCTAGCTTATGGGTTTGTCCTTATATTGAGAGTTGTTCTTAAGAATGGGAAAATGATTTATGAGGAAGCAGCTTGAAAGAGAAACATCATGAGACATTATTTATATTAATTGGAGGTTTATATTATAAAAGTATCCTTAAGAACATTGCTTCAGTTGGGTACTGAGATCAGTTGCTTATGACAGGAACTCTAAGGAAGTAGAGTTGCAGCTCACAGGGCAATTGAGGGGAAATTATTTATTTGTGTATGAATTAAAGGAAAAAATGAGGCTATCTAAATATGTGGTACTATATAAGGAAAAAATAGGAGTAAAAGCAAAAGGAAAATGGAAAAACAATCAAAGATCTACCCCAAGAATGACATTAATGACAATGTTAGACAATTCTAGAAGCTTGTCATTTTCCCATTATATTTTGTAACTTACTTTGGCCCATGTTTCTACAATGTGATTACAGAAAAAAAGGGTATACATGCTCCTTTTGGGAGAAAGCAATACATAGGGTCTCAGAACTATTTACAGTTGGCCCTGTCCATTTGCATAATTTTGAATGACTTCTCCTTAAGGCAAACAATGTCTTTAAAATATGTGCTTATAAATGTGTGCAGGACCACATCATGAAAACAAGAGTTAAGTTGAAAACTTTCATATGACATACGTTATCATCTGAAATGGGAAAATCAAGCATAGGATCACTGAAGCAAGCAAAATAACATTAACCTTTACTGAATTTTTTAAATATAATAATGCAAGTAAACTTACAATGAACCAGAAAGGCTATTCACAGGAATGATAATATTACCTTTGAATTACAACAGCAATTTTTTTTTTGCTGTTGTTGTTAGTTTATATGTCAGGTATGAAAGCTCTAAGTGCCAATGAATCAGCCAAAATTTTCAAAATGAAAGAAAGGAAGAGAATAGTATGATTTAAATGTTATAAAGAGAAATAATTTATATACAGGGTTATGAGAGGTTATTAAAATTTCTCAAAGTTGAGCTAGATGCTGTGGCTCATGCCTGTAGTCCCAACTGCTCGGGAGACTGAAGAGGGAGGATCACTTGAGCCCAGGAGGTCCAGACTATCTAAATATGTGGTACTATATACTAAATACATGGTACTATATTTAAGGCTACAGTGAGTCATAATTTTGCCACTGTCCAGCCTGGGCAACAGAGTGAGATCCTGTCTAAGAAAAGACAGAGAAAGAGAAAGAGAAAGAGAGAAAGAAAGAAAGAAAAAGAAAGAAAGAAAGGAATTACACAAAGTAATAATTGAGAACATCTCCAAACTGTTAATTGCAATGAGCTAAAGTATACCTATTTTATATTTTGAAAACTGAATGAACATCTTTTTTTATTTATATATTTATTTTATTTTTTTTTTTGAGACCGAGTCTCACTCTGTCACCGAGGCTGGAGTGCAGTGGTGCGATCTCGGCTCACTGCAAGCTCCGCCTCCCGGGTTGACGACATTCTCCTGCCTCAGCCTCCCGAGTAGCTGGGACTACAGGCGCCTGCCACCACACCTGGCTAATTTTTTGTATTTTTAGTAGAGACGGGGTTTCACCGCATTAGTCAGGATGGTCTCGATCTCCTGAACTCGTGATCCGCCCTCCTCAGCCTCCCAAAGGGCTGGGATTACAGGCGTGAACCACCGCGCCCAGCATCTTTTTTTTTTTCTTTTTTTTTTTTTTCCATTAACAGATTTGGCTTCTCTAGTTACTTAAAATGGAGCAATGATGCAAAGGTATAGTGATGGAATGAGTCACGCTAATGAGTTCCTTCCAGGCAATAACTCCATTTTATTTGACTTTATTTCTTTAGAACTAATGGGTCACTGGCTAAGAAATACAAGATAAAAACTAAATGTTTAAATAATGATATTGAACTGAGTACTAAGGAACATAATCGTCCGAGCCAGACAGCCTTATTTCAATTTCTGGAGCCATCATTTACATGTTGAGTTGTCTAGAAAAAAGTTATCCAATCTATCAGAGCCTTATTTTCCCTTTCTTTAAGATAAGAATGCCCCAACTTTCTCAGGTTGTTGTAAAGATTAAATGAGGTTATGTAAATATTGAATAAATGTTGGCATAGGAGCATATGGTCAGTACTTCACTAGTGACAGCTGTTGTGAGTAAACTCCTCTGGTTTTTAGGATGCTCCTACTCCCCAGGACTACTCCCTAAACCTCAACTAAAATGCCACGTGCCCCAGGAAGGCTATGTCACCTATCCCTAGGCTAAATTGCTTCTCTTCTCTAGTCACTTTAAGACCATTAATTTTATTTAGAGTAATTATTATTGCACATACTTGCAATTTTTATATTTTTGCTTTTGTGCAGTAAACCACCATGGCACACGTATGCCTATGTATCAGACCCGCACATTCTGCACAAGTATCTCAGAACTCAAAGAAAAAAAAAAAGAAAGAAAACAAACATATATTTAATAATGCAATATGGTGACTACAGTCGATAATAACTGTATATGTTAAAACAGTTTAAAGAATGTACGTTAATTATTTGTAACTCAAAGAATAAATGCTTGAGGGGATGGAGACTCTATTCTCCATGATGTGCTTATTTTACATTGTATGTCTCTAACAAAATATCTCATGTATTCCATAAATATATACACTTACAATGTACCCACAAAATGTTAAAAATAATAAAAAGTAAAAAATAAAAAATAAAACAGTTTTCTAATAAAATTTTGGGCAAGATATTATGAACCATCTAAAAGATAATTCTGTCTAAATTCTTTTAGATAGACCAATCTACATCAGCCCAAAAATGATAGACATATTGTATATTTCTTATTACTTTTTTGGTCAGAGTATGAACTAGATAAATATTGAGATGTCCAGTTATTATGAAATTCTAAATTTTTCTAAAGTTTTAAAAATACATTGCTCAAAATTTAAAATCAATTGATAAATTAAAAATAGATTGACTTATGAATATATGGTTATTTGTTAAGATAATGAAAATGTAATAAATTCTTATTTTTAATGCTGCACTGGCAATATCAACTCTATAGCAAAAGGATATTTTATACATTTTTTTCTAACAATATTTATAATTTTGAGAATCTCCCTGAAAAGAAAATAAAAACAAATCCGTTTCTGTGCCCCCCCCCCCAATAACTGATATAATATTTTAGGCAATAAATGGAGTAGAAATGTCAGCTATGTGGTACTGGAAACTCGCTTTCTTGTTTAATCAAAAAATTAAGAAAATCCTAAGAATCACACAATCTATCATTATTTTAATATCTCAATCAGATACTTCAACAGAGTAGAAATTTTTGAGATTCTAAATTATCAGAGAAACCTTGACATTCTTTAATTATTTCATCATGTTTCAGCCTGAGAAAGTTACTTAGTTTGCTCCTTGATGTTTGAGTGTTGATGTCATGAAATATTCCTAGAAATCTATTCAGTTATTTTTTGAAAAAGTAAAATTAAATTAAAATAAAAACAATACATCTTACTGCTCAGCCAGCAGCAATTTTTATAGTGGTTACTATGTTTTCATTTTAAACTTTTCATGGGTAAACAAAACAAGCACTATTTAGAGATTCTACCTAGATAGTAGATATACATATTTGTGTAAAGCCTTAGAAATAAATGCCAAGGATATTTTTTTCTTTTTAGTGACTTTGAAATGTCAGTCATTAAGGCTATTATAAAAATTGGGATTTCTAAAAGTATGAAAACAACCTAAAATGAATTTCTTATTTTTGTCATTTATGTGAATGATTTATTTTTAGAAAATGAAACATTTCTCTAAGAAAACATTCTAACAATTTTATATAATTAAATTGAATGAATATAAATAATAATTACATTAAACTAATGCATTATGTAGACTGTTACATTTTAAAATACTAACATAGTAGATGTATGAAAACTTACAGATTACTTTGAGGAAACTTGAATCTATCCACTATAATACCAAATAAGATGCATTATTTCTGTAATGAATTAATTTACCATGCCTTCGTTTTAACAGTCTTATTTATTGTTTAGTAATATCAGATGAGGAATTATACATCATGCCTTAACTTGAGTTTATTTGACTTACAAGAAACTCATAGTAATGTCACCTTGGTCTATCAGTGAAAAAGGCGTTTTACAAAATATTTATGGATTATGGAATTTAACAATTTTAACCACTCAAGCCCAAAATTTTTATGTACTGTTTTTATTAAAAGTCTTTCTAAAATTCAAAATGTTTCTATGATTTCTGTATAAATACTCTGACTATGCTGTTAACTTCCATTAAATGACTATGTTATATTGATGAAAATTACTTAAAATGTTTTGCTGACATATGTGTGTGTGTAATTTTCAATACAAAAGACTAGACTTAATCCTAGCATTCACTCTTTATAATTTTATAATTCTTGAATGTGCTTTCTTTTTCCATCTTATATCTCCTGTGATAGTAATTCTGCTGATATCTAGTTGGTCTTTCTCCAATATTCTGAATCTACAATATTCTATACTTGGAAATCAAATACAATTCATGATTTATATTTACATACGTTGAGGTAGAATTTCTGGATAAGGTATCAAGGTAATTTCTATAACCATAAATAGTATAAGTTTTAGTTCATAAGCATGCTCTTAGCTTTCTTGGATGTCAAAAATAATTTTCTATTTCTAAGTTATTGCCTCTATTCTGAGGTTCCTGATATCAAGTCTCAATGTAAATGAGATGTCTGTATATACATGTTAGTCATTGTTACTTGGCAAGGCAACTAAACAGAAGCAGAAACTATTGTGGAAGGAATCTTCGCATATAAATTAAATATCTTATATTTAAGTAATATGGTATTATAAAATAAGTCTGGTGCATATTTAGGGAGCAAATTTATCTTTTTAAAAGTTCTAGAATCCTTAAAGGATGATACACTTGGAAAATAAAGCAATAAAGTATTATGAACTGAACCAACAAATATAAAAAATATAAATTGATGTTACAACAACAACAACAAAACATACTTCAACTCACAGATAATGGTGGCCATGTGACCCAGTTTTGGTAAATAAGATGAAAGCAGGAGTAAATAAATATTCTAGGAACGTTTCTACTTTTCTGATAAAAGAAACAGACTTGACTATTACTGCCCCTTTCTCCATCTTAAGCATTGATTTAATGTCTGGAGTTTGACAATTATTTTATAACTAGGAAGGAAAAAAATACATTGAGCAGAATCAGGAAGATTCTGTCTCTGACATCATTAAGGGGCTTACCCAAGGTCAGTGACGCTCTGCTTCCAGACTTGTTCCAAATAGTATTCCTGAATGATAAAAGCATTAGCTAGGATTCTTTATAAACAGAGATAAAATGGACAAACCTTGAAGACAAATGTGATTGTATTTTGGCAACTTTTGTTATGAATCTTTGTTGAAATAAATGGTATCTGTAGTATAGCATAAACTCAGTCTTCTCTAATATAGAGTAGACAGTATTGGCAAAAGCAGGTTCAGTTGTCTGACATGATATGTTTAAGTTCCAAGGATGTCACTTCTAGCCATGTGACCTTGGGTAAAATTTAGGTAGCCGCAGATACCTCAAGCTCCTCTGTGATTGCCATTAATAGTTGTACCTACCTCATAATCATGGGCCAGATTAAATGACTAGTGCACATAAAACTTGCAGCACAGTGTCTGGTATTTTTTATTTGTAGTATATTATTAGTTAGAGATATTGATTATCTTATAGGCTATATAAGAGTAAGTAAATTAATAATAATGAGAATTTCCTTAAATTAAATTATACTGCCTTTTGAAGTCAAAATTTACATGATTATTTAGGCATTTATTAAGTGTTTACTAAGTATCTGGAACTCTACTAGTTGCTAGAAACACAGAGATAATTAGAACATAATTCTTTCAGGAAATCTGAAGTAGCAAGGAAGATGAAGATTAAAAACAAAAGCATGGTAAATCCAAGAATGTACTTACAAACATGGTTTGGAAGGAGTAAAAAGAGAAGTATATTTAACTCATATATATACACACACACACACACACACACACACACACACACACATTATACATATACACATATGTATACATTATACATATACACCAGGGAAGTCCCATCAGATATTTGCAATGAGTATTAATGAAAATTTAGGATAGAGGACAAGGAAGAATATGACATTTTCAGCAGAGGAAAAGCACTTATAGAGTCCAAGAGTTGCACAGCACAGCAACATGTTTTGGAAAATAAAACCTTTAATGCATGGCTGTGACAGAGGCTTATCAGGTGAAGTAACAAAGATGAAATAGAATATATCCCTGGAGTCAGATTATGAAAGTTCTCATATAGCTCTCAAAGGTTAGATTTCAAATCAGTATAAAGAGTGGTTTTCAAATTATATTTCATAGAATCTATCTATTCCCCAAAGCCTCTAAGGGCTGCTAGATTGTGTGAGAAGAAGGAAAAACAGGTATAGTTTTAGGGATCATTCCTCAATTTAACCCATTGCTATGGCTTTAAAACAAAATACATAACACAGATTCATAACTAGGTATTCATACAGAATTATTTTTGAAAAGGGGAAAATGCTTTCAAAAAAGTAAAGGATTGATTATCAAATAATATGGTCATCTTTTTATATTTTTCACACAAATTTTTTTTTCTGGCAAGGATGCAGGGATGTTCCTGTGAGACATATTAATAATCAACCTGAGAAATGAGATAATGTGGACCCAAAATAAGGCTCTAGAGAAATGGGAATGGAGAACAGCTGGCAGTTGTGATACATATGAGAGATAGTACAGACAGTTTGGGAGACTTCATACAAAGGTCTTCAACATTTTTTCACTTATGCCTTCCACAAGCAATGTTGAAATACTTTTATCTGTCTTTCTATGTTATTACATTGATTCGTATATTTTTATGTTTAATTCATAAAAAAAGATAGAATAGCATTTTTAAAGGACATTCAAAAAAACTGTTCATTACTGTAAAATGTATACAGTAGAATCTAAATTCCATAGCAAATTGATTCCAACAATTACTCACTTTAAATGCATTAAATACTGTTCTTTAACAGTTGTAAATTTTATCTCACTATTTTTACTTATTGAGTCTACTCTAATAAAAATATAACGCACTTGAAAATTTATATTGACCACTACATTATAGTCCTTTCCAATTTGAAAATTCCAGTTTCAAATTGCTGCATATAGTCCTTTGGGGTTTATTGTCTTATTTCATAAATTAAATTTGAGCAAGGAAGAATTCTTATTGATAAAATTGATTTAATAAGCATGAATATAGCCTGTGGTGAAAGGTAGGTGCACATAACACAAAATGTAAAAATTAATATTTTAAAATTATCTTCATCTTTTTGTGAACCTAAGATTCTTAGCATTAAATTTTACAGAATAAAATAGTACTTTGTCAAGGGTAAGTGACAATATTGTCTACGCATGTAAGTACCTACCTATTTGTCAGTATTTATACCAGTGCAAAAAAATAGCATTTGAATATTTAGGAAGTCAATTTGTTTCTAAACTTGTTTAAACTGCATATTGTTTTGTTATGAATAAATATTAGCATATGTTGATTCTGGTATGGCAAAACTGTGCACTTTTAGAGTTTAAAAGTTTTAAACTAGCATTTTAACATTTCTATAACTTTTAGGCCATTTGAATCTAAATTAGATTTTTCTTTCATTAAAATGAGGGAATATATATTGAATATGTTTTAACTACTTAACATTTGTTTAGTATAATTTTGGTTAAATTCATATAGGACAAAATGACAGCCATGCAATCATCAAAATAATGTAAGTAATATGCTGTTGTAAATAAAAGTAATACATTTTAGATTTGAGTAAATTTTCTTCTGTTTTGTTCTAAGAAGAGTTGCTTCTACTCAAGTTTTAGGGAGAAAGATTGACTAATTCATCCCCTGCTATAACCCTTTAATAGCAAATGATCATAGAGGATCAGATGAAAGAAGTAGCTTCACGGAACAACCACTGGAGTGGGACAAGAGTAAAAGAGAACATTCAAAAGCCATTGCAAGCTGAAAGTCTCCAGTGGATTGGCTCCTGGGAAATTCACCGCCTTGGGGCAGAAGGAAGAATAGGAAAATTTACTATTTGATAGCTTTTCTTCCTAGTGTAAGCAGGAAGCTGTTTAAAGCTAAATAACCATGGAGACAGAGGAGTGTAATTTATAAGAGTAAAATTGTAATTAGCTACAGAAACTTGAAAACTAACTTCTGTGTACTTTTGAATTGGTTGTGTTTTTTATTGTCATCTCCCTTAAAAATTTCACATAAATGATGGAATGTAATTGAAGAATGCTATTTGAACAGAATAAATGAAATTCTCAATAGCTGCATATAGTCCTTGGGGTTTGTTGTCTTATTTCATAAATTAAATTTGAGCAAGGAAGAATTCTTATTGATAAAATTGATTTACTAAGCATGAATACAGCCTGTGGTGAAAGGTAGGTGCACTTAACACAAAATGTAAAACTAGTGATGCAGGAAAAAATGTTTTAATATATACTGAAAATTGAGAACACATTCAAAATACAATAGTATTTGTTTGGAATTTATATGCGGTTTTGAGCTACAGGTGCAAACATCATGGAATAACAATTGAAAACATTGGCATAGAATGTGGATTCTGTATAAATATTTTATATACTCATTCACAAATGTTCAATTTCTGCATTCAGTTCTAAAATCATTTCAATCTAAAATGACTTATTTTAAAGATATTTTAGCAAAACAATATTTGCATGTATAATTTATACATTTGATTTTATGTTCTTGATGTTATACCTGTATTTCCAACAAGAAATATATTAAATATATTTATTCAGTTACTCTTTTCCTAATGAACACCAGTTCACAGTTGTGTGTGTGTGGGTGTGTCTTTAAATACAGATGTTTCATATGTTCTATATTTGTGGGTTTTTTACTTCTGTCATGTCCTCAGGTACATACAATGTGATATTTGGATTCCAGAAACTGTTATCACTCTTAATTCTTGTACTTAAACTGCACCAGAATGGAGATTATCCACTTTTCATTTCCTTCTCCTGAAAACACCTATATCAATAGCCTTCGACAGGGGGCATTTTTGCCCTCCAGAGAACATTTGGCAATATCTGGAGACATTTTTGTTTTCTCAAATGATCTGGGGTATGCTGCCAGCATCTAGTAGGTAGATTCCAGGGATGCTGGTAAACCTCACAGTACCCAGGACAGGCCCACAACAAGAATGATCTGGCCCCAAGTGTCAATAGTCTCAACGCTGAGAAATTCTGAACCAGAAAATAGGAAACATGGTGGTAAGATTAGAAGATGCTATTTGAAAAATGAATTGAGTATATAATGTGGTTTCTGTCACAGCCGGCTTGTCTAATGGATAGTCATCCTCGTTTCTTCTCTGCTAATTGAATCCAATATTCAGTCACTTGCAAATTGCTTAGCCTAGTGAATAAATTATAACTCGTCTAAACTAATTAGAGCAGGCCATTCTTCTTTGCTAATTATTGGCTTAAAAGAGGACCTAAAATTTTTATTTTAAGAAAGTCCTCTAGAAATTTCCAGGAATATTGGAATCTTGATTCTATCAAAGGAGATAAATTTACAAAGTGAAAATCCTTTTTCTCTTTGTCTTTTTTTTAATTCTATTCCTGTCCTGGATTTGATTACACGAGGACACTATAGCTGAGGCTACAGCAGTTATCTTATTAACCATGAGGTGGCAAGTCTATACGCCAAATCCAACACTAAGATTTTAGACTAGAAAGATCCTGGATTCCTAATGTTGACTTCTGTAGCCAACTCTGAGATTATGTTTGCACAGAATATGATTAATAGCTAATTATATGAAGTTGTAGCTGGATGATTGATATCAAACTAACCCTTCTATTTATAATAAATGCGAAGAGGGAAAGAACAAAGCTTCCACAGCATGGAAGGTGAACCCGGCGGGTTGCCACTGCTGGCTCCAGTGGCCAGCGTTTATTCCCTTATTTGGCCCCACCCACGTCCTGCTGATTGGTCCATTTTACTGAGCGCTGATTGGTCCATTTTACAGAGTGCTGATTGGTCTGTTTTTACTGAGTGCTGATTGGTGCGTTTAGAAATCTTTAGCAAGACACAGAGCGCTGATTGGTGCATTTTTACAGAGTGTCGATTGTTGCATTTACAAACCTTTAGCTAGACACTGAGCACTGACTGGTGCGTTTTTACAGAGTGCTGATTTGTGTGTTTACAAACCTTTAGATAGAAAAGTTCTCCATGTCCTCACTCGACCCAAGAAGTCCAGCTGGCTTCACCTCTCAAAATTATCAGGCATGTTATAACAATAATATACTAAAAGCTGAAGTCCTAGAAAAAAATTAACAGACAATAGATAAATCTGCAGTAATCCAGATATTAGCATTAGTACAAATAAGTTGTTGTTTTTGTTGTTGTTGTTTGGAGACGGAGTCTCACTCTGTCACCAGGCTGGAGTGCAGTGGCGCGATTTCAGCTCACTGCAACCTCTGACTCCCTGGTTCAAGCAATTCTCCTGCCTCAGCCTCACGAGTAGCTGGCATTACAGGCACGTGCCACCACGCCCAGCTAATGTTTGTATTTTTAGTAGAGAGGGAGTTTCACCGTGTTGGCCAGGCTGGTCTAGATCATCTGACCTCATGATCTGCCCACCTCGGCCTCCCAAAGTGCTGGGATTACAAGCGTGAGTCACCGGGCCTGGCCACAAATAAGTTTTAATATATCTATTACTAACATGTGAAAAAGATAAAACAACTTATTAGAGGACTGTAACCTATAATAAACAAACATATAAAAAAATGAGAACTTAAAAGTACAATAACTCAAATAATTTAATATATGCATTAAAGGCATTTGTATATGTCCAGAAAGTGGTTTAGTATTCCAAAAGATAAAAATTTAATACGTGTAAAACAATACAATTTGTAGTGCATAGAAAAAAGGGTTAATAAATCCAAAGAAAATACATGAAATGCAATACAAGTTATGAAAAAATTATTACTGTACATTCAATTGGAATATTACTACAGAAGTTAAAAAGAATGAAGCAAAAGCAATATTTGAAGAGATACGGTCTAAGGATTTCCAAAAGTGTAGATGATATCAAGCCACAAATTCAAGACCTGCTTTAAACACTGAAAATGATTTTTAAAAAATTAAAAGTCCTGGAAACCATCATTCTCAGCAAACTATCGCAAGGACAAAAAAACCAAACACCACATGTTCTCACTCATAGGCGGGATTTCAACAGTGAGAACACATGGACACAGAAGGGGAACACCACACACCGGGGCCTTTTGTGGGGTGGGGGGAGGGGGGAGGGATAGCATTAGGAGATATACCTAATGTTAAATGACGAGTTAATGGTTGCAGCACACCATCATGGCACATGCATACATATGTAACTAACCTGCACGTTGTGCACATGTACCCTAAAACTTAAAGTATAATAAAAAAAAATTAAAAGTCCTAGAAACATTATAATAAAACTGTTTAACTATAAAGGAAAAGGGGCATCAGGGTAATGTTCAAAGCAGCACCAAATTAAGAAAAGATATGTTCCTTTAAAAGGAATAGCAATAAGTCTGACAGTTGATTTATCATCACAAACAATGTAAGACAAATGACTTTGGGATCACATCTAAAAAGTGTAGGAAAAAGACTGTCAATCTAGATAGAATTTAATACACAGTAAAAATATCTTTTTAAAATGAAGAGTAAATATATAGTTTTGGACAAAAATAACTCTAATATATCCAAGAAGATAATAAAACCTTTTCTAAATTTGTGTCTACTTACTACAGCAGAATTAGAATGTATAAAACAAAACAAGCATAATTAAATAGAAAAAAGTTGCATTCATAACTGAAGCTGAATATCTTAAAACATGACTTTCCATAACAAAAAAATCGTATAATAAATGAGGAGATATACAAGAGATTTGAACTATACAACTAACAACATTTATGCAACTGGTTTAAATGGAACATTGTACTCAACAATCACAGAATATATTATTCTTTCAAATCTCAAAAAGATCACATAAAAAACTCTTACAAATAAAAAATTAGTAAAGACAACCAATACGAAGTGGGAAAATACTTAAAGAAATACTTCGAGAAGTACTAAAATGTCAATTACTATATGAACATATACTCAACTTTTTATTAATAAAGTCCAAATCCACAATGAAATTCCATTATGCATTTTCTAGAATAGCTAAAGTTAAAAACACAGATATTAGAAGAAAATGATTGGCATTGTGAAGTAACTATAACATAAACCTGTATGAAGGTAAAATTGGTTCAGATAAACTAAACCAAACCAAACCAAACCCAAACAAATAAAAAACACTGCCAAAAACTCTTTAGCATTACCTTCTAATGCTGAATGTACACAAAACCTAAGATTCAGTGATTCCATCCATGGGTCTATATTTAACGTAAGTATACCCACATAAACAACAACATGTATACAAATATGTAAACATTATTAGCAATAGCCTCAAACTGAGAATAACCCAACGTACTTTTAAAATTTGATATATTGATTCTGGTTTTGTCTTCCATGACCGCCACTTTCTGAACTCCTTTCCCTATTCCTTGTGTTGCTGATCATGAGGGTTTATTTTTACTATCAAATTATTCAGATGAGTTAATGTGACTCTAGAAAAACCAGAAGCCTCTATGGTATACCATAAATGCTGATAATAAGTAGCATCAAAAGTAGAATGGAAAAATACACTGTACTATTTTCATAGAATGGCATATTATACAACAGTTAAATGAACAAATCGCTGCTTCATAGAGGAACATAGATGGAGCTTATAGACATTATATTTGAATGAAAGAAGCTAGAGACAAAAAAAATTAAAAAAATTCATTTTATTTATAAACATTCAAAACAGACAAAACAAATAGAAAATTTTAATTGTATGTTAATAATAGAATTCAGAATAGGGGTTATCTTTCTAGATAGGGGTTACAGAATAGGGGTTACATTGGGATGGGTACCTGAAGGAAGCTTCAAAAATTTGGGTACCCGTCTATATTTTGATGTGGTTACACAAACATATTCATTTTGTAAAAATATATCAAGCTGTAGGCTCGAGATTTGTGCATTTTACTTATAAACATATTATTCTTCAATTTAATGATTACCATCAACATATTTATAAATTTTCTGTAACTTGTATTCATAACTTTCCAGCATATAGATGTTGAATAGCATATTAGGAGCAATGCTACTGTGTGCAATGTTAAATTCTAGAAGTCAAATTGTCATGGAAGTAACATATTTATGACTTTATTTTAGACAGCTAAATCGTTAGTTTGTAGAATGGATTGCATGGTGCAATTTTTCTGGCAGAGGGATTACTTGGAGATTGATCTCACTGAATGCTCAATGATTCCCTTGTAAAATTAACAATGGCTTATTTCTCGGTTTGGAATAATACAGTGATTTACATTGTAAATGTCCCTCAGTCAAGAATCACCCAGGAACTTATATAATTGAATAAATTGAGTTTACTATTGATAGCAGTGAGGGAGAATATACACCATAGAGAACCATGGGGCATCCCAGAAGGACAGTCTTAAAAAGAATTTGTTGTAGAGTTTTTGATTTGGTTGGATAAATGTGGGGCTTTGCTGTTGATTGGGTGTTGTCAGAAAGTGGCTTCAACTTTATAACCAGGAATTCAATAAATCTTATCTATAGGGAGAGGTAATCAGAACAAGAATGAACCTGTGATTACGTGAGAAGTAGTAGTCACTACTACTTTAGTGAGGGAAAGGAATGTTTGGTATTTTATGGGCTGCACATTGATCTCATTTTTTCTCTTTTTCATGATCACAGAGTGACTTCATTTGCTATAGCTGTTCTGTAATATTGCTTATGTCCAACAGTATGACAATATTATATACCTGTAAGCCTCATATCACTTTGGAATAACATTGAAGCCTACCTGTGAATGCTAGATCAGTTTATAATAATACATTTAATGTTGAGATCTAGCTGTGAGGACAGTTCTCCAACATCAGGGGCTCTTATTATCAGCATCTATGGTATACCATACAGGTTTCTGTTTTTTCTAGGGTCTTGTTCATTCATTGGATTAATTTTATAGTAAAAATAAGCCCACATGATTAGCAACACAAGGAAGAGGGAAAGGAGTTCAGAAAGTGGTGGTCATAGAAGACAAAATCAGAATCAATATATCAAATTTTAAGAAATGAGATGATATTAGTATACACATATGTATAGATATAATGAGAAAAAACAATTATGTCTGTATTCTTCACTCTACATAAAAATGGGACCAACATACCCACATTTTGTTTGTAAAGAACAGTAGAAAGAAGATGTTTTGTATTCTTCCACAGAAAGCCTGAATGGAGAGATTTACTAGGAAAGGTGGACACAGCAGGAATAGAACAGGGGAAGGGAAAACATTCTCAAGATAGAGCTGCTAATTTAGGGGGACTCATTTTGAGAAAAAGGGTTTCCATCTAGTTTCAGTTTAGCATAACATCATAGAGCCAACCAAATTTGCAAGTCTATGTGGATTTGGAAAAACTAATACATGACTAAACTTTGTAGATTAAAAACAAGAAGGATCTTTTCCAACTGTTTGAATCTTTTAAGTATGAGATTCTTACAAGAAGTAATGGAAATCATAGGGATAACTGAGATTGATATTTTCACCACAGTAGAATTGGTATTTTAAAGTTAGATTAAATATGATTTAGAAAAGTAGGGTTATCTTTATTTAGAAAAATAAAGTGTTTATTTTACTCTAGGTTTAAAGCAAAATAAAATCTGTAACTTACATATTTCATGATTTTTTAGTACAAAAATACCAAAATGTTCAAAAATAAAATGTTCTGTCGCTAAGCAATTCATGAATAGCACTATTAATTGTGTTGCCACCTTTATGTAGCATTGGCATCACAACAAGATTTCAGCCTTTTCTCTTTTTTTCCAACTTTCATTTTAGATAGAAGGGTTATATGGGCAAATTTGTTACATGGGAATATTGCATGGTGCTGATGTTTGGATTACAGATCCCTTCACCCAGATATGTGAGCATAGTACCCAAAATGTAGTTTTTAAACCACCCTACCTTCTTGTAATTGATAGTCTTTATTGTTCCCATATGTATGTCTGTGTGTGCTTAATGCTTAGCTCCCACTTATACATGAAAACATGTAGTATTTGGTTTTCTGTTCCTGCATTACTTTGCTTAGGATGTGGCCTCCAATTCCATCGACGTTGTTTCAAATGACATGACTTCATTCTTTTTTTATGGCTTCATGGTATACCGTGGTTTATATCTACCACATTTTCTTTATCCAGTCTACTATTAATTGGCACCTGGGTTATTTCCATGTTTCTTACTATTGTGACTATCACAGTGATGAACATATGAACGCATGTGTCTTTTTGGTGGAATGATTTATTTTCTATTGGGTATATACTCTGTCATAGGATTGCTGGGTCAAATGGTAGCTGTTTAAGTTCTTTGAAAAGTGCTTTCTACAGTGGCAGAACTAATCCACACTCCCACCAACAGGGTATGTTTCCTGTTCTCTGCAGCTTCATCAGCATCTGTCGTTCCTTCACTTTTTAGTAATAGCCATTATGACTTGCATGAGATGGTATATCTAACTACAGTTTTACTTTGTATTTCTCTGATGGTTAGCGATGCAGAGCATTTTTTCATATGTTGGTTAGACACTAGTATGTCTTTTTATGAGCAGTGTCTGTTCATGTCCTTTGCTTGTTTTTCAATAGGGTTCTTTGTTTTTTGCTTGATGATTTGTTTCAGTTCCCTATAGGTTCTAGATATAAGGCCTTTGTTAGATGCATAGCCTGCCAATATCTTTTCCCATTCTGTACGTTGGCTGTTTGCCCCGTTGATAGTTTCTTTTGCTGAGCAGATACTCGTTAGTTTAATTAGGCCCTACTTGTCTATTTTGTTGTTGTTGCAATTGCTTTTGAGGACTTAGCCAAAACTTGTTTGCCAATGCCAATGTCGAGTACAGTATTTCCTAGGTTGTCTTCCAGGATTTTATAGCTTGAGATCTTAAATATTTAATCCATTTTGAGTTAATTTTTGTATACGGTGAAATAAAAGGGTCCACTTCAATCTTCTGAATATATCTAGACACTTATCTCAGCACCATTTATTGAATATGCAGTCATTATATCATTGTTTTTGTCAGTCTTGTCAAAGATCAGACGGTTGTAGGTGTGCAGCTTTATTTCTGAGCTTTGTATTACGTTATTTTAGTCTATGTGTCTTTTTGAACGAGGAACAAGGTGTTTTGCTTACTGTGGCCTTACAGTACAGTTTGAAGTCAGATACTATGATGCCTCTGGCTTTGTTCTTTTTGATTAGAAGTGCTTGGCTATTCGGGCTCTTTTGGGGTTTCATATTAAATTTTAGAATAGTTTTCTTCTAATTCTGTGAAGAATAATGTTGGTAGTGTGAGAGGAATAGTATTAAGTTTGTAAATTGCTTTGGGCAGTATGGTCATTTTTATGATATTGACTATTCCAATCTATGAACACAGTATTTTTTTCATATATTTGTGTCATCTCTGATTCCTTTCAGCAGTGTTTTGTAATTCTAATTGTAGAGATTTTTCTCCTCATTGGTTAGCTATATTCCTAGGTATTTCATTTTCATTGTGGCTATTTTAAATGGGATTATGTTCTTCATTTTACTTTCAGCCTGGACATTGTTTGTGTGTAGAAATACTACTTATTTTTGTACATTGATTTTGTATCCTAATACTTGACTAAACTTGTTTATCAATTCTAGAAACTTTATAGCAGAATCTTTAAGATTGTCTAGGTATAGAAACACATGTTTAGTGAGGAGAGATAGTTTGACATCTTCTTTTCATATTTGGATGCCTTTTAATGATTTCTCTCGCTTAATTGTCCTGGCTAGGCCTTCTAGTGCTATGTTGAATAGGAGTCATGAGAGTGGGTGTCCTTGTGTTGCTTCAGTTCTTAAGGCAAATAGTTCAAGCTTTTGGCTATTCATTATAATGTTGGCT
Source organism: Homo sapiens (assembly GCF_000001405.40). Classification (NCBI taxonomy): domain Eukaryota; kingdom Metazoa; phylum Chordata; class Mammalia; order Primates; family Hominidae; genus Homo; species Homo sapiens. The sequence continues at coordinate 25,096 of NT_187536.1, forward strand.
ATAGGCTTGTCATAGATGGTGCTTACAATTTTGAGATATGTCCCTTTGATGCCTAGTCTGATGAGGGTTTTTATCAAGAAAGGCTGTTGGACTTTACTGAAAAAATTGTATGCATCTATTGAGATGATAATGTGGGTTTTGCTTTTTATTCTTTTTATGTGGTGAATCGCATTTATTGATTTCTGTATGTTGAACCAGCTTTGCATCCCAGAAATAAAGCCTACTTGATTGTCGTGTATTAACGTTTTGATATGCTACTGGATTTGATTTGCTAGTACTTTTTGTTGAGGATTTGTGTATCTATTAGGCTGGTGCAAAAGTTATTGTGGTTTTGCCATTGAAAGTCATAGCAAAAACTGGCTGAGGGTGTTGGCTAACAGCTGTAATGCTAGCACTTTGGGATGCCGAGAAGGGTGGATCACTTGAGGTCAGGAGTTACAGTCCAGCCTGGCCAAACTGGCGAAACCCCATCTCTACTAAAAATACAAAAAAAAATATTAGCTGGACATGGTGGCACTCGCCTGTAGTCCCAGCTTCTTGGGAGGCTGAGGCAGGAAAGTTACTTGAACCTGGGAGGTGGAGGTTGCAGCGAGCCGAGATCATGCCACTGCACTCCAGCCTGGCTAACAGAGGGAGACTCCATCTCAAAAACGAAAAGAAAAGAAAGTAACAGCAAAAACTGCAAATACTTTTCCACCAACTTAATATGTTCTTGAGGGAAATTGGTCTGAAGTTTTCTTTTTTCACTGTGTGTCTGCCATATAATGGTATCAGGTTGATGCTGCCTTCATAGAATAAATTAGGGGGTAGCCCCTCCTCTTTGATTTTTTGGAATAGCTTCACTGGGATTGGTATCCGTTCTTTATATGTCTGCTTGAATTGGACTGTGAATCCATCTGGTTCAAAGCTTTTATTTTGGTTGGTAGTTTCTCTATTATTGATACAATTTTAGGACATTTCCTTTTAAATCCTTTCAATTTCACTTATCATGGCAAAAGGCCATTGATCAGTGGCATAAACTCTGCATGAAAATAGTACATTACCAGGCATCTTAACTGTGGGTGAACAGAATTGATTTTAAACTTAAGTCACTAATTGTGGCTTTGGTGACAAAGTGAGTTAGGAATACACAGCAAAATGCCAATACCAGATTGAGAAAAGATTGATGTATTTAAAGTCCTAACCTGTAAAGCTTCTAACTGAAAGGATCCAGCTGTTCACAGGAAAAGGCTTTTAGCACTATTGTCACAGGGATAGGACATGTTAGGGGAATTTTGTGAATAAGAGGAGCTTCACAAATTAAAGATGTTCAACGCTTTATATCTTCCTAAAACATAAGAAAACATAAATAGAATACACAGAAATATTAGGTATATCATTTATACCTATAATATATTTTATTTTCAATTTTAAAGGTTTAATCATAGTGAAGAAATATTGGTTCCAGAATGTAACAATAGTCCAAAATCCAATAGGGTAGTCATTAAACTTTAAAGTTCCAAAATGATCTCTTGTTTGACTCCGTGTCTCACATCCAGATCACACTGATGCAAGAGGTGGATTCCCATAGCCTTGGGCAGCTACACCTCTGTGGCTTTGCAGGGTACAGTCACCCTCCCAGCTGCTTTCACTGACGGGCATTGAGTGTCTGAAGCTTTTCCACGTGCACAGTGCAAGCTGTTGGTGCATCTACCATTCTGGGATCTGGAGGACAGTAGCCATCTTCTCACAATTCCAATAGGCAGTGCTCCAATGGGGACTCTATGTGGGGGCTCTGACCCCACATTTCCCTTCTGCAGTGCCCTTGCAGAGGTACTCCATGAGGTCTCTGCCCCTGCAGCAAACTTCTGCCTGGACATTCAGGCATTTCCATACATCCTCTAAAATCTAAGTGGAGGTTCTCAATCCTCATTTCTCGATTTCTGTGCACACACAGGCTCAACACCACATGGAAGCTGCCAAGGGCTGGGGCTTGCACCCTCTGAGGCAATGGCCCAAGGTATACCTGGCATCTTTTAGCCATGACTGACACTGAAGCAGCTGGGATGCAGGGCCCCATGTTCTGAGACTGCACAGAGCTGGGGGACCATGGGCCCTGCCTACAAAACCATTTTTTCTTCCTTTTCTTCCAAGGCATCTGGGCCTGTAACGGGAAGGCTGCCACCAATATCTCTGACATGCCATGAAGACATTTCCACATTGTCTTGGTGATTAACATTCATTTCCTCGTTACTTATGCAAATTTCTGAAGCAGGCTTGAATTTATCCCATGAAAATGGGTTTTTCTTTTCTGTGGCATTGTCAGACTGCAAATTTTTCAAATTTTTATGCTCTGCTTCCTCTTAAATGCTTTGCTGCTTAGAAATTTCTTCCACCAGATACACAAAATCATCTCTCTCAAGTTCACAGTTCCACAAATCTCTAGGGCAGGGCCAAAATTCTGCCTGTCTCTTTGCTAAAGCTTAGCAAGAGTGACCTTTGCTTCATTTCCCAATAAGTTCTTCATCTCCATCTGAGACTACCTCAGCCTGGACTTCATTGTCCACAGCACTATCAGCCTTTTGGTCAAAGCCATGAAACAAGTCTCTAGGAAATTCCAAAATTCCAAACTCCAAACATCTTCCTGTCTTCTTCAGAGCCCTCCAAACTGTTTCAACCTCTGCTCATTATCCAGTTCCAATGTTGCTTTCACATTTTTGGGTATATTTACTTAAATTTATATCTATCATTTCTGACCACCTGAGAAAAAGTATCATGTAATATATAAATATTTATCAAATATAAGGAAGCATCCAAGGAAACGGAAGAAAATTTATTGTTGAATATTAATTTTATTGTTGCTGCTTTTATTCTTGGATCAGATGTAGAGGTTTTCCTAAGCAGAGATTGGGTTTATGCAAATGTATACAGGGCCTAGTAGGTAACTTAAATGTACAGACAGGTATATGACAATATCAGTGTAGGAGATACTGTCAAGCTGGAAAACTCACCTGCCCCATCTTTATAAGTGGTATGGCTGTTATTTAGTTTCAGCTTATAGATACTTAAAGTATCAGTTCAATCTTGGCAAACTTTTGTATTTTTGTAAAGAAAAAGCCATAAATCAAATATTTATCAAATCATAAATCACTCTTATCAAATCATAAATCACCATAAATCAAATACCTATCTATCTATCTATCTATCTATCTATCTATCTATCCACACAAACACTCATAGGAGTGTGTATTAGTCCATTCTCACATTGCTAAAAGAAAATACCTAAGATTGGGAAATTTATAAAGGATAGATGTTTAATTGACTCATAATTCAGCATCACTGCAGAGGCCTCAGGAAATTTATCATCATGGCAGAAGGCAAAGGGAAATCAAGGCACCTTCTTTACAAGGTGGCAGGAGGAGAAGTGCTGAGAGAAGGGAGAAGAGCCCCTTATGAAACCATCAGATCTCGTGAGAACTCACTCACTATTTTGGGAACAGCAAGGAGAAACTGCCCCCATGATCCAATTACCTCCACCTGGTATCTCTCTTAAAACGTGGGTGTTATGAGGATTATAGGGATTATAATTCAAGATGATATTTGGGTGAGGACACAAATCATAACCATATTATTCAATGACAATATGTATTATTTAGAAGACTCCCAAGAAAGAAAACCAAATGACAAAGAGAAAAAGATAGATTTATCATGAGGAATTGACTCATGAGATGGAAACTGAGAAGCCTCAGGATCTGCTATATGCAAGCTGCAGGCCCATGAAAGCTAATAGCGTAGTTTAAAAGTTCAAACCCACAGGCCAGAAAGCCAGGCAGCCAATGGCATAAATCCTCATCTAAATCTGAAGGCCCAAGAATCAGAAGCACAAATACCTCAGGGCAGGAGAGGGGCATCCTAGCTCAAAGCACAGAGAGTAAACTTACCTTTCCTCCACCTTTTTATTCTATTCAGGCCCTCAACACATCAGTGTTACCTACCCACATTAGTGAATGAGATCTTTTTTACTCAGGGTACACTCTGCAAAAAGAGTTCTTTTACTCTTCCAAAAGAACTCTGCAGACACATCTAGAAATAATGCTTTTCCTTCCATCTGACCCATCCCTTAGCCCATTCAAGTTTACACAAAAAAATTAACCATATTTTTCTATTTTTATTTCCTTCATCTGCTACAATGCAGACTTCAAAGCACAGAAATGTTTTTCTAGTATGTATACCAATGCATAATAAGCATACATAGTAGTACCTGGTACACTATATTCAATAAACATTTTTTGAATAAGTTTAACAAAAAAGAGTGAATAAGTATATCCTCACAGGAGATTCAGAAAGCAAGCTCATAAATACTAAGTGGAGCTTTTTCTGTATACTACCCTTTTAAATGGCAATGGTACATAAACGAACAATATTTTTTGCCTTCAAGTTTCTAATATTATAATAACATTCACATCTATAAAATTAAAAATTCTAATTCAATAGAAAATATTAATAATAATAGAGCTGCAAAAGCTCGGTTAGGAATGAACCAAAGGTATTCCATACTAAGGGTATGATACTGATTTAGATTCTAAGCTAAAAAATGTTGCCATGGGTGATACATTTTCAAGATCACTAACATATTTAGCAAATTTTTGGAGCATTTACAGTGAGACAGAAATTATGCTGGACTCTGGAGATGCAAAGATGAATATTACTGGATTACTGTTTTCTATATTTTGACAATGTTTTAGCTAGTATCCTAAGTATTGATAGAATATGACATTGAGAGCATTTGAGTGACTTCTCTTGAAATTGTGCATTCTACACAGTAATAACTGAAATTTTCAGCAAATTTATAATGTTAAACTCAGGTTTTACAGGCACAGATAAAACACACTGACATTATCTTTTAAGTTAAAACTACATGTTAATTATTTCTGCACAGTTTGGGTAACTAATACAATTACATTTAGAAAATATATTGTTGTATAACAGTGAAGTGTCTGAACCTTCTATGTCAGTGTTCAATAAATTGAATTTGACATGCCCAAGGGGCTCACCAAGAAGGTGCACTCAAGGAAAGCGGACTGTTTCAGACATGACCTTGCCATTTAACAAGTCATATCAGAGCCACACAGATTAGTTCCAGTTTGTTCTCTGAGGTGAACATATTCGGGATATTAAGACTGTGGCAGTGGCTTTAAGCAATTTTGGAAAGGAGTGAAAAAACAGGAATATTGTCAACTGTCCAATTCAAAAACTATTGGCTGAATGCTTTATTTCTGGGCTATATTTGATTATCCGTATCTTCCAAAAAGAAATTACAGACACATTACAGTGAAAGACATATATGCGATCCCTGGCACATAATAGGTATTCAATAAATATTGTTGACCTATGACTGAAATAATACATGTTACACAATTGATAAAGCATACAATAAAATAATAGAAAATAAATTAATATACCAAAGTCATAGGCTCTGGCATATTAACTTATCAAATATAAGGAATCACTACAAGGGCTGAAGAAAATTTCTTATTGGATATTAATTTTATTGTTGCTGCTTGTATTCTTGGATCAGATTTAGAGGTTTTCCAGAGAAGAAATTGGGCTTACACAAATGTTTACAGGGACTAGTAGGTAACTTAAATCTGCAAATAGACAGGTATATGACAGTATCAGTGAAGGAGATACTGTCAAGCTGGAAAACTCACTTGCCCCATCTTTATAAGGGGTATAGCTGTTGTTTCGTTCCAGCTTATAGATACTTAGTGAAGGTATCAGTTCAATATTGCCAGACTTTTGTATTTTTGTAAAAAGAAAGCCATAAATTAAAAATTTAACTGTAACTTTTCTATACTTAAATGTTGACTATACACACAGACACACATACGCAGAGACATACATTTTTACTTGGGTAATGTTGACTCTACACACAGACACACATACACAGAGGCATATATTTTTATTTGGGTAAATGTATAAATATCAGACTATTAGATTACAACCATTCGTTGATAAATGATTTTTTTTTCTGGCATATAAAAGCATAAACAAGGGCCTACTGAGTTAACAGCTGTATATATGATGGATCTGGCCCTCCTAGAGCAGCATGTTTATTAAATTATTTTGAAGAATAACTTTTGGCATGTCTTGTTTTATTGGTTTAATAGCTATTATTTTTCATTTTTAAACCTCATGTTATAAGCACAGATCCTTAGCATTAAATTATTACAAATCTTAAACTCAACACCCCAATGTATAAAATAGATGTATTATTATATCTCAAATTAAAAACAGTGGTAGTAACACTGTTGTCATTCAACCTTCAAACCCATTTTACTCTTATTATGTAGAGAAAATGCTTTAATCTGACGATATAGGACAAAAGCAGGGAACACCTGCCTTCTGCTCTGGTCTAGATCCCAAGCTCACATTCCACCCACAGCTGGGATGGGCATGCAGCAATCTGCTTTGCCTTGGGTGCTGGTAAGTGGATGAGGAGAACACAGTGGTGCTTGAAAAACTCGGAAGTGCCAGTGACCCTGAAGCCCTAAAGTGAGTGTTACAGAGTGCTACAGCTCATTCAGTCCTTCTGCCCCACTGCAGCCAGCAGTTCCAGGGCTGACCTGCCCCGCTGTTGTTTCCCATCATGTGGAGTGACTGCCTGGCACCCACGCAGGATGGAGGGCTACAGTATTACAGCCTTTCTTGTACCTGTGTTTGGTGGGTACTGAGTTCTTGTCCAGCATACAAGAATGGGGTTATGCTGACGACCAAATGGTGAAAAGGGTGGAAAAAAGTTTTATTGAGTGACAGAACAGCTGTCAATAGAGAGGGGACTCGAAGTGGGTGGTCCCCCACCCAAAGGCAGGTAGTCCCTCCCAACCAAAGTTGGGTAGTCCCGCCCACCTGAAGGTGGGTAGTCCCAAAGTGTGGCTGAGTCCAGGACTTTTACGGGCTCAGAAAAGGGGAGTGTGTGCTGATTGGTTTATGAGTATGCAAAAAAGGTTAAAACAAAGTCATCACACAAAGCTAGGCACAACAGTGTAAAAAACCAATTAGGGAAGGGTAGGTATATATTTCAAGTAGATGGAATGGGGATCAATCTGGGAAAAAGCACACTAAATGGGAAGAGAGGTTCTCAATCTGATCCATGGATTTATCTGAGACTTGTAGCCTGGCTTTCAGGCTTTAAACTGTCTTTGGTTTGAAGGTCTGGTTTCATCAGGGACCCACCCATATCTGCCTAGGGATTTGTCTGCCTCCTGCTGCTATCAATGTCGGGAGATATTTTTTATTTTCAGGACTTGGGAATAGGGAGAAGAGGGATAGAGTTCCTGGAATCTCCTAAGAAGTCAGAAATGCTGCTAAACAATTCACCATGCATAGGACAGCCTCTCCCATAAAAATGAGTTATCTTTGCCCAGATGGCAGTAGTGCTAAGGCTAAAAATCCTCCTTTAGAAAATCAAAGTCCAGTCATGAGGTATGTGCTTGGCACATCATTATTGTTTGAAACTATGTTTTAAGTTTTATATAGTTCAACATTTGTGTGAAGAGCTGGCAATTTCCAAAATAAATGCAGAGAAGGGAAAGAAAAAACACAATCAAGCATAGAAAAGCATTATCCCAATAATAAAAATCTGTGAAGAAATATCAAGAGTAAAAAGTAATTCCATGAGGACTAATTGTTTCAGTCTTCCTGCTCCAGGGCACATCTTATCTAATGAATAAAACTAGGCCCAGGAAAAACAGTTGTTCTAAGAAATAAAACTAGAATCCAAAATGGAAAAGCATCTATACCCAAACAAAAAATAATTTCAAGGTCTGTGTTTGCAGACATATGAGTACTGCCAAAAGTTGAGAGAGACATTTGTTCAGATCAATATAAAAATGTGCCATTACAAGAAACATTACTATGGTCATGCTTCTTCCATAAATGAATAAAGCTAATAGGCAGGCATTCTTGGATTTTTGTTTGGCACAGCAGAAACTAGAATTTATCTTAGTGCTCTATTAATACTTCAGGATCACTAACACATCATAAAGTCATATTAGATACGGTAAAACCTAGGAAATATACTATTCTAACATTTAAGAAACCTAGCATTTTCTATTAGTTTTCTTGACTTACTTTCAGCATTGCTTTTTTGCTTGTTTTGTAATTTGCATGATCATTTTCTGTCTTGGAATCATGTTTATTCTGAATTTCCCCCAAAGAAGCAGATATTCTAGGTACAAAATGACCTTAAAAGTAATAAGCTGTTATGTATGTGATTAGAAGTGTTGCTATGAGCTTAAGGACAGATTTTAGACTCATAAATTATATTGTGACAGTTTGTCATTGTTTGCCTTTTTGAAAATAGTTGTCTGTAATTTACCAACCTTACATCTAACTGCTATATTTCTGATTGTAGCTAAAAATGCTTTCTCTGAGGAAAAAATGGATAGTATGGTTCATGGAAGAAAAATAATATGATGAAAATGTCAGGTCTTAGAGTGGTAATTTGGGCTTCTTCTGCTGCCTGGCTACCACATGACCTTGAGCAATGCCTGGCTTCTTTGGTCTTTAATTTATCCATTTCTAAGTGAGCATAATACCACAAGATGAAGCTCATGAGATTGTTATGAGGAGACTCTAATAAAAATGCACTTTTCAAAAACGCTGCATAAATGCTAAATAGAGTAAAATATGCCTTTCTTCCAATACATTTTTGAGAGCTTTTCATTTTGGGCTCTCCTTTAATGATGACCACCTCATGGAGCTTCAGCAACCTTTTCAAATACCATGCAAGTAATTCTTTATTTCTATGAATGCACGAGACATTTAGATCTGTCTGTTCTTCACACAGAGAAGCAAATTGATCATTCAATATATACTCTGCTGTTTATACACAAATATGTGATTTTTTTCATAACTGATTTAAGGATAAAGGACATAACATTTTCTTTCACAGTAGACTAAAATATTGTAGTTCATATTTGGGTACAAATGAAAGTATGGTAGATTCAATAGTTATATTTAAATTAATTAAAATTTTAGTGGATTTTAGAGCAAATATAAAATGATGATGACAGCACAATTAAATAACTCTCTTGTAACAAACTCAAGTGAAGATATGGGGATTATACTCTAGGTTAGATTAGTTACATTTTTTTTTTTAAAAATGTATTTCCATATATGCTGTCACAGATAAATGAATTGAAAATAAATTATCTAAAAATTTTGAGTAGACTAGGCTTCCAGAATTGGTATAATTCATTCTTTAAACTATGATATATTTTAACAAATGCATTAATATTAAATTAATGAAATTATGAAGTTATATGGCTTTAAATGTCTCAAAATCCTAGTGACTGAAAGTATACAGGCATTGCACACACACGTAGCCCTCATTTGTAGGCCCTATATTTCCTAGAAAAATTGGTTCAAATCAAATTGTATGTATAAACATTCAATGTTATCATTATTTTCATTTCAAAAAGGTGAAAATATCATGGACTCAAAAGAAACCAAGCAACTGAAGCATGTAATTTTACATTATAGTGATACATATGTTCTCTTACATTTCTAGACTGCTAAAATGTTGGAAACCAGAGACAACAGGAGTAATTTATAGTCTAGGATTCTCAAAAAGGGCTGCTCATTTCAGTTACCTTTGAAATTCAAAATAATAATGATAGCAATAATAATAATAATAAGTTTACGGGGCTCGACTTGATTTACGAGATCTGAGTCTGGGTCTCAAATTTTAAAAATCAGTTCCTCAGTAATTCTTCTGTGTCACTCATGAAAGAAATCATTGATCTAATCAACATAATGTTTAACAGAGGAGAAAACAGAGTCCCAGAAAGGTTGAATAATTTAGCATGAATGTATAGCTAATTGGCAAAACTAACTCTAGAGTTTAAATCTCCAGGGAAAGAGACTACATTATAACATTTTTTTCCCTGAAAAAGAAAATATGTTTTTAGACTAAAATTCCATAAGTTTCAATTCCATAAATGAGTTTAGTATCTTCCATTTTATACATGTGCATGTGTGTATACACTTCACCCTTTATTTTGTAGCCATGAGATTGCTTCCCTCAATAAATGCAGAAAACTTCAGCATTAGCTCGTGAAGAGTTGATTTTTTTAGAGACAATTAAAATTTTAAAAAATATTCTGATTATTTTTTTCAGGATTCTTATAAACACCAGAGTTATTGGACAAGTAATATGATCCATAGAGTGAGAGGACAAAATGGTAAGATCTGTAAAATACCCAGGCTCCTGAGAGCTACACATTTCATGTAAAAGGGTTCAGAGGGACACAATGGTGTCAGAAATGGCTCAATTTCTGGGCATTGTGGATTTGATTTGGAATTTTGTTAAGAGTGCATTAGTGATGCCATTAACCGCTTTTTACATATGGCACTAGGTTGGTTTACTTGTTCAACAACTATAATTGAACACCTTTTCCCAACGTCAAAAATTCTAACTTTAATACAATGAAAAGAGTGAACATAGATGGATTATCATGTTCAAATTTCTCCTAAAATACTCTAAACACTGAATGGTCATTTGATTTAGATTAACCTTATTAAACATTAATGTTATGGTACATGGTTTATTCTTCCTTAGGGAGTCAGAGTCATTGATATGGAGACTTTAAAAAATACACATATAATATAATATATATAATGTTATGAACAATAATAAATGAAGTCCAGATAATAGCAACATCAACACAAATGTCTATACACAGTCCAAGCTACTTCTCTGACCACCATATTGGTATAATTAATTGCCTATTTTACATAGTCACTCAAATGTCTAAAGGCATTTCATGCTATTTAGCAGGATTTTTTTCCAGTTCTTAAAATTCTGATAAAGTACATAACATAAAATTTACCATCTTAATCATTTTTTATCATACAGTTCAATGGTATTGATTTCTTTCATAATGTTGTATAACAATTACTACTATTCATCAGCCGGGCGTGGTGGCTCACGCCTGTAATCCCAGCACTTTGGGAGGCCGAGGTGGGCAGATCACGAGGTCAGGAGATCGAGACTATCCTGGCTAACATGGTGAAACCCTGTCTCTACTAAAAATACAAAAAATTAGCTAGGCATGGTGGCAGGTGCCTGCAGCCCCAGCTACTCGGGAGGCTGAGGCAGGAGAATGGTGTGAACCCGGGAGGTGGAGCTTGCAGTGAGCTGAGATAGTGCCACTGCACTCCAGCCTGGGGACAGAGTGAGACTCCATTCAAAAAAAAAAAAATTACTACTATTCATCTCTATAACATTTTTCATGTTGTAAAGCTGAAATTTTATACTCATTAAACAATAGCTCCTCTTTCCTCCCTCCCCTCATCTCTTGCAATCACCATTCTACTTTTTGTCTCTACGATTGTAAATACTGTAAGTATCACAAATGAGTGGCATCATACAGTACTTTTCTTTTTGTGACTGGCTCATTTCACTTAGCATTATTTCTTCAAGGTTATTGGATGAGACTTGTTTTTGGGTTTTAAGGCCAAAGAGTATCCCATGATGTGTGTGTGTGTGTATATATATATATGTATATGAGTGTACGTGTGCATGTGTTTGTGTGTGTATACATACATACATACCAGATTTTGCTTATTTATTCATTTTGCTTAGCTATTTATTCATCAATGGACACTTGGGTTTGTGTTACTTCCACATTTTAACTATTATGAGTAATGCTGCCATGAATATGGATGTACAAACATCTCCTTGAGACATTGTTTTCATTTATTTCTGGTATATACTGAGTGGAATTGCTGTATCATACAGTAATTTCATTTTCAAATTTTTGATAAATTTCTATACTGTTTTTTCACATTACACATACCATTTTACATTCCCACCAACAGTGGACAAAAAATTACATTTCTCCACTGGAATTACAGTAGATTAATCTTTCCTTGAAAGTACAAAGCTGAAATTTACTAAATAGCAGTTCCAAATGACTTGTCTACCAATCTAAACATTCCTTTTTTTCATCTTCAGAATTTCATATTCTATCCCTTCTTTAAAAACTCACTTTAAATTAAAAGTACCTCTAACAATTTTATAAAATTATTTAAACATACAGTGTCATCTATATTCAAAACATCTCTCTGAATGATTATGCTACATAAAATACACATGGTGTATTCACTTATGCCATTTAGCATTTTTAAGATAAGAACAACAAACTTAAAAAGGTCAAATACACAAGAATGTATGAGATTGCAAAAGGTAAAGCTGAAATTTATACAAGTCTTATGATGCCAAATATAATTTTTACATTTCATCATAATTCTCTTCTATAAAAAATACAGTATTCTGGCCCAGCGCAGTGGCTCACGCCTGTAATCTCAGCACTTTGGGAGGCTGAGGCGGGCGGATCACAAGGTCAGGAGATCGAGATCATCCTGGCTAACAAGGTGAAACCCCATCGCTACTAAAAATACAAAAAATTAGCCAGGCGTGGTGGCAGGTGCCTGTAGTCCCAGCTACTTGGGAGGCTGAGGCAGGAGAATGGCTTGAACCCAGGAGGTGGAGCTTGCAGTGAGCTGAGATCGCGCCACTGCACTCCAGCCTGGGTGACAGAGTGAAACTCGGTCTCGAAAAAAGAAAAAAAAGAAAAACAATATTCTGAATGTAGATAACTTTCTGAGCAAGGTGTTTCTATTAAATAAGCCAAATCAACAACTGATATTGCAGTTGTTACATGTAATGTTCTTGTTTCTGGGCTCTCATGAAATGTTATAAATGTTCAGAAACATAAATGATAAGATATTTTAGAGCTCAATTTTTACATAATTTAAACGTAACTTAGTTCAAACTATTTGTTTTATGCATGAGGAAGCTAAGCCTCTCCTGCCCCCAGAAAAATACAAGCTCTCAGTCAGTGCCACACACCTATTGGGTGGCTAAGAGGAGACGAGTATCAATTTTTGTTCTAAATGTTTTTTGCTATGCAGTCTTCAAGTAATCATCTATCTATAAGAATGGAGAATGGCCTACATTATTAACTCCCTGGCTAGACAGTGTCTCATAAACATACTAGGATCAATGAATCAAAACCTCTAGTGTGAGATCTTTGCATCATTGCTTGTATAAAATTGAACATAAAATGTAGCTTGTGTTGAGAAGTAATGATTTTAAACCTGCAATCATTAAATATTAACACTTGACAGACCACATATTTGACAGCGATCTTATAAAACTTTTATCATATTGTAACTTTTCTATGTTCATATACACAAGAACTATTGTATTAGAGTTGCTTACAGTACTCAGAATAGTAACATTCTCTGCAGGTTTGTAGCCTAGGAGCAATAGGTTTTACCTTATAGCCTAGGTGTTTAGTAGACTGTACATTTTAGGTTTATGTAAGTATACTTTATGATAGTTGTGCAATGACAAAGTTGCTTACCAACATATCTTTGTCAATAAGAGGCATGACTATCTAGTTTCCAAATATAGTCTTGAGCACTTAAACTGCCCTTTATTAACTCAGCTGGATCCCTGTTTCCTACTCTTTCAAAAATCCCATTTTCTAGTGTTCCTCTATTCTTTGTGCGTGTGTATGCACAAACACATGCATTTTTCATCACTTCTACGTTAAAGAGAGAATAGTTTACCTTACTTCTATTCTATATCTATAAAAAAGAGAGGGAAAATTCTACTTTAAGCATTTGCATGAATGCCTTAGTATATGAGGAATGTGTATGTCTGTGGACCATTTGAAAATGAAATAGAAAACTGTTCGAATTTAAAAATCTTGTAGCTTGTTTCTTCTAAAATTTTACCTTTATACTATCAGATTTGTGTACTTCACTAAAAATTGCTGAATAAAAAGAATATGGTATTTTATTCTCATATGTTTGCCCTACTTTCTTTTCTCCACCATTTTCTTTAAGGTAGGGAATTATTAAGCAATAAGTTTAAAATTTGAAATTACAGTTACATTTTAATGCATCATTTGGTCTTCATCAGTAAAAGTTGGTTTCTTTTTTCTGTAGGACTGTGAATGACAAATGATTAACCAAATAGTTTTTTAAATGCAGACTGTCCCATGATACACATATTAATTAAATGAATAATAATAAAAAAGTAAAAAAATTCATTTTGGGTAAATAATATTGTTAATATACAAATGAGCCCATAGGTCTGAGTAAATGTGATATATGTATGTTATTAATAGTAAAGAACATTTATCCTGATATGGTATGTGATCAGTACCTCAATATATTAAGCACGTAAGTGTATATATATAATCAGGTATTTATATTATATACAAGTTTCAATAATGTCTTCATATGAGCAATTTTATGAGGTCATCATTAAAATTCTGGATATACATATATTCTTAAAAAAATAGAAAATCCAAGAAGTGAATCAAAATTGCTTTATGAGAAAGCTATAAAATTAGCTGTGTATTTGGATAGCTGCCTTATTCTCCTTGAATAGCAAAGAGAACTTGCTCTCCTAGAGTAAATATTTTTAAATGTTCTATATTGTACTAATTTACAAATGAAAAGTAAACTAAAATGTCAGAAATGTTTTCAAGTTTGTGAGTATGATTATATATTATTTTGTAAAATTGAAATAAATAAAGGGACTTTCAAAGCTTGGTTTTATCATTCAGATTTGAGTTTCTGTGTAACATTTTCTGAGGAAAAGAAAATAAATATTTATAGTCTATAAAAATATGTCTACAATGCTTATGAAATATTTATAATAAATGTAATTTATAATCTGAATTCCTTTTATCATTAGTATATAAAGATGAAAAAAATATCAACTCAGTGGGTTGGAAATATTGATAAAATATAAAGTCTGTCTTCATTTACCACAGGCTTCTCTTTTCCAACCTTTCTTTGACAAGATATGTCACCTTGACAAGCCAGTTACCATAAATGACTTACAACTCCCTGAACCCTGTATTTAATATAGTCAGGACCCCACACTTCAAATTGTCATACACCATTATTATGTTTCAGGATGTCAGTCTGTTATCTGAAGGATAGTTCCTCCCCATGTGTAAATTCTTCTGGTATTTGTCTTTTGGTGTCAGCATCAAAAGATGTGATCTTTGATCACTAATCTAATACTTTATGGAGCTGTAAACAGACAATAAAGCAAGAATTTTGTTATGATTGATAGATTGTTTTGTGAATTTGGGATTAAGGCAATGACTTCAGTGATTGCTCATGTCTTACATCATTTAGGTTCAAACAGAAACTTTCATGCTTGCAGAATGTAAACAAAAACACTTTAAAAAATCTTTTTATGTCATGCAGTTTTTAAATGTAATTGTTAATGCAGTTATTCTCCAAATGCAGATTAAAATTTGAGTCTTTTTTACATCTGTGTGTGATAAACAGTACAATTTCAAATGATACACATATATAAAGAATGGTCAGGACGGTATGAATGAAGATGGCAGAATAGAAGGCTCCATCAATTATCCCCACAAGGATAACAGTTTAACAACTATCTTCAGACAAAAAGCACATTTATAAGAATCAAAAATCAGATGAGCCCTCATGGCACCTGGTTGTAATTTCATATAGCTGAAAGAGGGCACTGAAGAGGTAGGAAAAACAGTCTTGAATGGCAAATGCCACCCCTCTTATATTCCCCAGCAGCAGCTGAGTGGTGCAGGGAGTGTTCCTGTGCTCTGGGGAGAGTGAGGGAACAGCAACTGTGAGGCACTACCTCAGTGCTGCCCTGTTATAGCAGAAAGAAAAACTGGAACAAATTCAGCTGATGCCTGCCCACAGAGGTAACATTTAAAACAGGCTTAGCCAGAGGGAAATCCTCAATCCCAGCAGTCAGACTTGAGTTCCTGCAAGCCTTGCTATTGTGGGCTAAAGAGCTCTGAGGAACCAAATAAACTTGAAAGACAACTAGGACAAAAAGACTGCAAATCCTAGAATCCTGGTGCTGAACTGGGCCCTGAGTCAGGGGAATGGGGGAAAATGTGATTTGCTAGAACACCATCCTTGGCAGCTAAAGCAGTGCTGGCATCACTCCTTCCCTAACCCCAGACTGCACAGCTCAGCACTCCAAAAGAGTTTCCTTCCTTCCATTTGAGGACAGGAGAAAGAAGAGTGGGGAGGACTTTGTCTTACATCTTGTATACTAGCTCACCTATAACAGAATAGGGTACTGGTCAGAGTAGGTAGACCCTCTTTTCAGGCCCTTTCTCTGGGATAACATTTATAGACACATTGTGGACCAGAAGAGAACCTTCTGCTTTAAAGGAAAGAACCCAGTCCTGACAACCTTCATCACCTACTAACTAAAAAAACCCTACCCTGGAGAAACTAGCAGTGACACCCATGTACTATGTTGAAGGCCTTAGGTCAGACTCAGACTTATTGGCTTCAGGTGAGAATCAGCACATTTTTTGCTGTGGTAGTTATGTGGAGAGATTCATTCTGCTTTAGAAAAGTGGGAGGAAAAGTAAAAGGGACTTTGCCTTACACTTTAGGTACCAAGTTGGCCACAGTGGGGTAGAGAACCAAGTAAGTTCTTGGGGTCATTGATTCCAGGAATTGACTCTTGAATGGCATTTCTGGACCTGCCCTGAGTCAGAGGGGAGTTCGCTGTCCTGAAGGGAGAGTCCCAGGCCAGTCAGCTTTCACCACAGGTTGACTGAAGTGTCCCTGGGATTAAAGGGAACATCAGTGATAGTCTGGCAGTACTTCCCATGGGTCTGTGGTGATGGTTGCCACAGGGTGGGTCTCCTCTGCCTTTGTAAAGAGGAAGAAAAAGTGAAAAGGACTGCATCTTGTGGTTTGAGTACCAGCTGAGCTGCAGTACATTAGAACACCAGGTAGACTTCTAAGGTTTTTAACTAATCCCTGGTCCCCTGATGGCAGCTCTTGACCCACTCAGGGCCTGAGAGAGCTCATTGCCCCAAAAGGAAGAACAAAGGTCTGGCTGGCTTTATCACCTAATTAATGAGTATAGAACTCTAGGGCCTTGAGCAAACACAGGTGAAAGCCAGGGAGTGGTTACAGCAGGTATTTGGTGAGACCCACTGCTGTGCTAACATCATGGTAAACCCAGGGCAGTCATAGCGATGTTGGCCACTGGAATGCTCCAGATGGCTCAGAGCAGAGAGAGAGAGATTCTCTATTGATTTGGAACAAAGTAAGGGAAGAGAACAAGAGACTCCGCCTGGTGATCCAGATCTTGTTCAAAACCTTCAAGGCAGTACCCCAAGTTTGCAAGAAGCCTTCCCAAGAAGACAGGTACAAATAAGCCCAGACTCTGAAGTCCACAACAAATATCTAACTTTTCAATGCCCAGACACAGAAAAATGTCCACAATAGCAAGATCATTTAGGAATACATGAACTCACTAAATGAAATCAATAAGGCAAGAGGGACCAATTCTGTAGAAAAAGAGATATGTGATCTTTTCGACACAGAATTCAAAATAGCTGTGTTGAGGAAACTAAAATAAATTCAACATAATAAAGAGAAAGAATTCAGTATTCTACCAGATAAATTTAACAAAGAGATTTAAGTAATTAAAAAGAATCAAGCCGAAATTTTGGAACTGAAAAATGCAATTGACATCTTGAGGAATGAAGCAGAGTCCTTTAATAGCAGAATTGATAAAGCAGAAGAAAGGATTAGTGAGCTTGAAGACAGGCTATTTGAACATGCAGTTAGAGGAGACAAAAGAAAAAGAATAAAAAATAGTCCAGGCACAGTGGCTCAAGCCTGTAATCCCAGCACTTTGGGAGGCTAAGGCAGGTGGATCACTAAGTCAGGAGATCGAGACCATCCTGGCTAACACGGTGAAACCCTCTCTCTACTAAAAATACAAAAAAATTAGCTGGCCATGGTGGGGGGCACCTGTAGTCCCAGCTATTCAGGAGGCTGAGGCAGGAGAATAGCGTGAACCCGGGGTACGGAGCTTGCAGTGAGCCAAGATCACACCACTGCACTCCAGCCTGGGCAACAGAGCAAGACTCTGTCTCAAAAAAAAAAAAAAATGAAACTTATCTATAGGATCTAGAAAATAGATTCAAATGGCAAATCTAAGAGTCATTGGCCTTGAAGAGGAGACAGAGAAAAAGACAGGGGTAGAAAGTTTACTCAAAGGGTAATAACAGACAACTTGCCAAACCTAGAGAAAAATATCAATATCCTAATAAAAAAGGTTATAGAACACCAAGCAGATTTAATCCAAAGACTACCTCAAGGCTTTTAATAATCAAATTCCCAAAGGTCAAGGATAAAGAAAGGACCCTAAAAGCAGCAGGAGAAAAGAAACAAATAATATAAAATAGAGCTCCAATACATCTTTCAGCAGACTTTTTAGTGAAAATCTTACAGGCCAGGATAGAGTGGCATGATGTATTACAGTGCTAAAGGAAATAAGCTTTTACCCTAGAATGGAATATCTGAGAAAAATATCCTTCAACCACAAAGGAAAATGAAGATTTTCCAAGACAAATGAAAGCTGAGGAATTTCATCCACACCACAGCTGTCCAATTAGAAATGCTAAGGATAGTACTTCAGTCAGAAATAAAAGGATGTCAAAGAGCAAGAAGATGTAATCTGAAGGTAGAAAACTCACTGGTAATAGCAAGTAGACAGAATAACAGAAAATGTTACAATACTGTAACTATTGTGTTTAATTACTATTATCTTAAGAAGAAATTCTAAACAATAAGCAAATTTAAAAAACTTTTAAAGACATAGCAATTAAGATATAAATAGAGGGAGCAAACATTTAACAAGTGGGAAAATGAAGTTAAGGTGTAGAGCTTTTATTTATTTTTTTGGCTGGTTGTTTGTGCAAACAGTGCTTTATCAGCTTAAAGTCATAGTTTACAGGATAGAATTTTCAAGCCTCATAGAAAGTTCCAGCAAAACACATACAAGGAGACACAAAAAGCATATAAAAAGAAACTACATTGTATCACCAGAGAAAATAACTGTCCCTAAAATGAAGGCAAGAAAGGAAAGGAAAGAAAGGAAGGAAGGAAGGAAGGAAGGAAGGAAGGAAAGAAGGAAGGAAGGAAGGAAGGAAGGAAGGAAGGAAGGAAGAGAAAGAAAAGAGAAAGAAAGAAAGAGACAGAGAGAGAAAAAAAAAAATAAAGGCAGGCTGGCCAAAAACCAAGCAGAAAAAAATAACAAAATGGCAAAAGTAAGTCCTTATTTATCAATAATAACATTGAATATAAATGAACTAAACACTTCAATAAAAATACATAGACTTGCTGTCTAGATAAGAAAAATAACATCCAAGGTTCTGTGGTTAAGAAACAGTCTTCCCATGTAAAGACATATATAGACTGAAAATAAAGGGATAGACAAAGGTGTTTCATGCCAGTTGAAATTAAAACAGAACAGGAGTCACCATACTTATATTAGACAAAATAGATTTTAAGATAAAAGCTATAAGAAAAAACAGAAAAGGCCACTATATGATGCAAAAGGAGTCAATTCTGCAAGAGAATATAATAATGTTTAATATATATTCAACCAACATGTGAGCATCCAGATATATAAAGCAAATATTGTTAGAGCTAAAGAGAGTGATTGACCCTAATACAACAACACCTAGAGACTTTAACATCCCATTTTCAGTATTGAACAGACCTTCCAGGCAGAAAATCAACAAACATTGGACTTAATCTGCACTATCAATCAAAGGAACCTAATAGATATTTACAGAACATTTCACCCAATGGCCGCACAATACACATTCTTGTCCTCAGCCCATGGATCATTCTCAAGAATAGACCATATGTTATGTCACAAAACAAACCTTAAAACAATAAAAAAAAACAAGATAATAAGCATCTTCTCTGAACAGAATGGAATAAGACTAGTAATCAACAAGAGGAATTTTTTAAAATATACAAACACATGGAAAATAAACAATTTGCTCTAAAATAGCCAGCAGGTCAATAAAGAAATTAATCAGAAAATTGAAAAATTTCTTGAAACCCAGGGTAAAGGAAACACAGCATATCAAAACCTATGAAACACAGCAAAAGCAGCACTAAAAGGAAAGTTTATAGTGATAAAAAAATTAAAACTACATAAAAATAGAAGAAAACCTTTGAATCAACAACTTAACCACGCATCTTGAAGAACTAGACAAGCAAGAGCAAAGGCAACCTACAATTAGTAGAATACAACAAAAATAAAGAACAGAGGAACAGAAATAAATGAAATTGAAATGAAGAAAACAATACAAAATATCAATATAACAGAAAGTTGTTTTTTTGCAAAGTTGAACAAAGTTGACAAACCTTTAGCCAAACTAAGGAAAATAGAAAGAAGATCAAGATAAAAAAATCTAGAGACAAAAATGAGACAGTACAACAGATACTGCAGAAACTCAAAGGATTATTAGTGAATACCTTGAGTAACTACATGCCAGATAAATGGAAAATCTAGAAGTGGACAAATTCCTAGACACATACAGCCTACAAAAACTGAAGAAGGGAGAAATTCAAAACCTGAACAAACCAATAACAAGTAGCAATATTGAAGCCATAATAAAAATTCTCCCAGTAAAGAAATGCCTGGAACATGAACAGTTTTACTACTGAATACGACCAATTAAAGAAGAACTAATAACAAGCCTAGTTATACTTTTCTAAAAAATCAAGGAGGAGGGAATACTTTCAAATTCATTACTCAAAGTAAGAATTACTCTGAAACCAAAACTAGACAAAGGCACATTAAAAAAAAAGAAAGAAAGAAGAAGAAAACTACAGGCCAGTATCCCTGATGAATATTGATGCAATTATCCACACCAAAATATTAGCAAATAAAATTCAACAATACATCAAAACTACCATTTGTCATAAACAAGTGAAACTTTTCTCTGCAATGCAAGATGGTTTAAAATATACAAATGAATCAATTTGATACATTATGCCAACAGAATGAGAAACAAAAACTATATGACCATTTCAATTGATGCTGAAAATGCTTTTAGAAAAATTTAACATCTCTTTATGATAAAATCCCTCAAAAATCGGGGTATTGAAGGAACATACCTCAACATAATAAAAGTCACATACTAAATACCCACAACTGGTATCATACGTAACAGAACAAAACTGAAACACATTCCTCAAAGATATGTAACACAAAAAAAGATACCTACTTTCACCGCTGTTGTTAAACATAGTACTGGAAGTCCTAGCTAGAGAAATGAGAGAAGTTAAAGAAATAAAGGGCATCTAATTTATAAAGGAAGACAAATTATCCTTTTTTGCAGATAATGTTATCATACATGGAAAAACATAAAGACTTCACAAGAAAACTATGAGAATTGATAAACAAATTAATAAAGTTGGAGAATATAAAATCAATGTAGAAAAATCAGTAGCCTTTCTACATGCCAACAAGAAACAATGGGGAAAAGAATTTTAAAAGTAATCTAATTCACAATAGCCACACATAATATTAAATACCTAGAAAAACAAATATGTATTAGTAAGGGTTCTCTAGAGGGACAGAACTAATAGGAAAGACATATATATGAATGGCAGTTTATTAAGGAGTATTGACTCACATGATCAAAAGGTGAAGTCCCACAATAAGCTGTCTGTAAGCCAAGGAGCAAGGAAGCCAATCCAAGTCCCAAAACCTCAAAAGTAGGAAAGCCAATAGTACAGCCTTCAGTCTGTTGCCAAAGGCCAAATAACTCTTGGTGAACCACTGGTGTAAATCCAAGAGTCCAAAAGCTAAAGAATTTGGGGCCTTATGTTAGAGGGCAGGAAGCATCCAGCACAGGGTAAAGATGAAAGCTAGAAGACTCAGTAAGTCTGGTCATTCCATTTTCTTCTCCCTGCTTTACTCTAACTATGCTGGCAGCTGATTAGATGGTGCCCACCCAGATATGGAATGGGTCTGCCTCCCCAAGTCCACTGACATAAATGTTAATCTCCTTTACAAACACCCTTACAGACAGACCCAGGAACAATACTGCACGAAGCATCTAAAGGCACTGTAGTGCTTCAGCTGTCCACTTTAGGGTGGTGCCTGCAAATCATGCAGAACCATCTATAAACCTGGTCCTAGTCTTCTCTTCTTCTGTCATCTGATCACAGGGAATTCCTCATGAGGCCATTGGTGTAGGCTGGAGGAGAGAAGGCAGGGTGGCAGGAATGGAGACCATGGGCATTTGAGTCCCTCATGTAACTTACTTGTGCCTTCAAGACTTGCTTGAGCCCAACCACGTATATATCACTTCCATTTGATGATGATATCAGTCTACAAACACACCATTTTATGGTCAGAAGGGTCAGAAAGCACCCCAGCTCATGATAGTTCAAGTCACATGGTGACTTAATGACCTATAGTCAAAAACATTCAGTTTCCATTGAAGCCCAGTAACAGACCAAGAGCTGTCTCTCAAAAGAAGAGCAGTTATCTGCAGAAGATTCCAGGGCTTCGATCCAAAATCCTAGAGTCCTCCATGGTCCTTTACCTATGGGGGCCTGCCAAAGGCTCCAAAGAGTATTGCTATATGCCATTGACACCTCAAGCACCATTGAATCATCTGCTGGGTCATGGGGCCCAAGCGGCAGAGCGTTCTCCTGTTCTGGACCCTATTCAAAACTGGCAGCCTTTCAAGTTCCTTGATAAATGGGTGAGAGTAACACACCCAAATGAGAAATGTGTTGCCTCCAAAGTCCAAATAGACCCAGTAGGCATTGTGCCTCTTTCTTGGGTGTAGGAGGGGGCAAATGCAGCAACTTATCCTTCACCTGTGATACGGTGTGGCTGTGTCCCCACCAAAGTCTTATCTTGAATTGTAACTCCAATGATTCCCACATGCCATGGGAAGAACCCTGTGAGAAGTGATTGAATTATGGAGGTGGGTCTTTCCTGTGCAGTTCTTGTGATAATGAATGAGTCTCATGAGATCTGGTGATTTTAAAAATGGGAGTTTCCATGCACAAGCTCTCTTTTCTCTTTGCCTGCCACCATCCATGGAAGATGTGACTTGCTCCTCCTCACCCTTCACCTTCCACCATGATTGTGAGGCCTCCCCACCTATGTGGAACTGTTAGTCCAATAAACCTCTTTCTTTTGTAAATTGCCCAGTCTCAGGTATGTCTTTATCAGCAGCATGAAAATGGACTAGTACAGTAAATTGGTACCAGTAGAGTTGGGTGCTGCCTAAATGATACCCATAATGTGGTAATGACTTTAGTACTGGGTAACAGGCAGAGGTTGGAACAGTTTGGGGGCTCGGAAGAAGACAGGAAAATGTGGGAAAGTTTGGAACTCACTGGAGACTTGTTGAATGTTTTTGACCAAAATGCTGATAACAATATGGACAATGAAATCCAGACTGAGATGGTCTCAGAGAGGAGGATTTCTTGAGAATTGGAGCAAAGGTGACTCTTCTTATGTTTCAGCAAAGGTACTGGTAGCATTTTGCCCCTGCCCTGGCGATTTGTGGAACTTTGAACTTGAGAGAGACGACTTAGGGTATCTGGCCGAAGAAATTTCTAAGATGCCAGGAATTCAAGAGGTGACCAGGGTACTGTTAAAGGCATTCAGTTTTAAAAGGGAAACAGTATAAACCTTTGGAAAATTTGCAGCCTGACAATGCTATAGAAAAAAAACCTGTTTTTTTTTTTTTGAAGAGAAATTCAAGCCTGCTGCAGAAATTTGCATAAGTAACTAGGAGCCAAATGTTAATCACAAAAACAATGCAGAAAATGTCTCTAGGGCATGTCAGAGACCTTTGTGGCAGTCTCTCCTATCAGAGGTCTGGAGGTTTAGGAGAAAAAATGATTTTGTGGACTGGGCCCAATGTCCCTCTGCTGTGTGCAGTCTAAGAACTTGGTGTCCTATGCCCCAGCTGCTCCAGCTGTGACTAAAAGGGACAAAGGTACAGCTTGAGCTGTCACTTCAGAGGGTGGAAGCCCCAAGCCTAGGCAGCTTCCACATGGTGTTGAGCCTGAGGGTGCACAGGAGTCAAGAATTGGGGTTTGGGAACCTCCACCTAGATTTCAGAGGATGTATGGAAATGCCTGGATGTCCAGGCAGAAGTTTGCTTCTAATATGTCTAATGAGTCTAATGAATGTATCTAATGAGATCTGATGGTTTTAAAATGGGAGTTTCCCTGCACAAGCTCCCTTTTCTCTCTTTGCCTGCCACCATCCATGTAAGATGTGACATGCTCCTCCTTGCCTTTCACCTTCTGCCATGATTGTGAAGCCTCCCCAGCCATGTGGAATTGTAAATCCAATAAAACTCTTCCTTTTGTAAATTGCCCCATCTTGTGTATGTCTTTATGAACAGAATGAAAATGGACTAATACACCTTAGAAGTAACGTTGTGACAGGCCCCAAATCACTGGACCCCTAAAAGTTCTACTGAGGTAGAAGGTCCCTGAATTTAGTTATGTTTATTTATCATTCCATGGCATGCAAATGTCTCACCAATAAGTCCAGTGTGTTTGCTACTTCTCACTCACTAAATCAAATCAACATAATGTTACCAGTGTAATGGACCAGCATGATAACCTGTGGAAGGGAAAGTGATCAAGATCTCTGTGAACAAGATTGTGACACAAAGCTGAAGAATTGATATACTCCTGAGGTAGGACCGTGAAGGTATATTGCTGGCCTTGCCAGCTGAAGGCAGGTCACTTCTGATGGGCCTTAGTAAGAGGAATGGAGAAAAAGGCATTTGCCAAATCAAGACTGCATACCAGGAACCAGGAGATGTGTTAATTTGTTAAGGAATAAAACCATATCTTGTGTAGCAGCTGTAATGATTGTAACCACTTGGTTAAGTTTACAATAATTCACTGTCATTCTCCAAGATCCATCTGTCTTCTGCACAAGATAAATAGGAGAGTTTAATGGTTATGTGGTGGGAATCACCACCCCTGCATCTTTCAAGTCCTCAATGGTGGCACTAATCTCTTTAATCCCTCCAAGGATGCAATATTGTTTTTGACTTACTATTTTTTAGGTAAAAAAAGCTCTAATGGCTTCCATTTGGCCTGTCTCACCATAATAGCCTTCACTCTACTAGTCAGGGAGCCAATGTAGGGATCTGCCAGCTACTAAGTATGTCTAAGCCAAATTATGCATCTGGCACTAGAGAAATGTCCACAGGATGAGTCTGTGGACCCACCTGACCCACTGTAAGTTAAAGCTGAGCTGAAACTCCATCAATTATCTGACCTCTATAAGCCCCTACTTTAACTGGAGGACCACAAAGATGTTTTGGGCTCCCTGGAATCAGCATCAGCTCAGAGCCAGTGTCCAGTAGTCCCTGAAAGTTCTGATCATTCTCCTTCCCCCAATGCACAGTTACCCTGGAAAAAGGCTGGAGGTCTCTTGTTGAAAGGATAGGAGAAAGATTAACAGCATAAATTGTGAGTAGTGTAGTGGAGTCCTTAGCCTATCAATTTCACTTCCAGGAACACCATGACTAATTAACAAATCCCAGGACTCTACACAGGTCAGACTATTATGATTTCTGCTTTGCTTATGCTGTCCATTACAGGAGTTATGCCCACCTTGCCTTTGATGGTTGAGTGCTGCCACTTGACCCTGCCACCTCAGGAACCAATTATTCATATTGCATTTAAATTTACTAATTGAGTGACTATGGTTCCCACTGTAAGAGCTAACATACAAAGAAGAGGAATCACACAGCTATTCAAGAATGCAGGGGCTCCCCTCACAAATCTATTTTACAAACTATTGGTGAAGGGGATGTCCTCTGGAGCCTTGCAGCTGCGATGAGTAGGTCTAATGTGACTAATCTACTTTAGCATTCCAATCTCCCTAAGGCTTTGGCTCCCTTCCTCTATATTAAACCAAGGGAGATTAGACATTTCCAGCTCTCTCACAGTGGGCCATCTTTTGATCCATATTTCAGCTAACCAAGTAAATAAGCTATTGGAACCTTTTTTAATTCCCCAAACTGCAACATTAAATGCAGAATCCCCACTTAGTTGCCTCATATCAATAAATTCAGCTTGATTTAAATTTATGTTCCTTCAACCATTATCCCATAATTTTAATATCCATTCCCATGCCTGTTCTCCAGGCTTCTGCTTATATAAATTAGAAAACTCAAGCAGTACTTTTGGAGTGTAGCACAGTTCCTCATGGATCACACTCTGAATCTCATTTCTAGGGGCCTGCCAGGACTTAAGTCTAGTTATAGGTCTAGAAGCCAACAGGGGTGTTGGGGGTGGGTCCTAAAGAGAATCAGCATTGTCTTGCCGGGAAACTGCCTCAGGGGAGGCCATCACTGTTGCCTTAGGCAGCACAGGGTTTTTCACCTCAGACAAAGGCAGAAAGGCTGATGGCAGCATGGGTGAGGAAGGGAACATTGCCACCACTGGCAGTGGAGAGGCTGTTTCCTCTGGCAAATAAGGCTCATCAGACTTTACAAGCTCAGTGCTCCCAGCTTCATCAGGGCTCCCCCACACATCGCCAGTACAAGTTGCAGAGTCCCATTTTTTTCCTATCAATGCCGTCACTTTAACAGAATATACCTGGCAAGAATGAGTGTGCACCTTTCCTAGCAGGTCAACCCCTGGCATGATAAGAGCTTGTGTCTGATTTCCACAATTTCAGCCCTTTGTCTGCAGAAGCTAAGTTATATTTGCCTCTCACTCGAGGCAATCTTAGAAGACTTGAGGCTGTGTTTGTGCCTCTGGAGCCAGGAATTACAATCCTTAAGCTCATCCTTTTATTTCATTACTTTGTCTAGTGAACTTAGGAGCAACCAACCGAATTCATTATATTCTTTGGTTCTCCACATATGGTCAAAGGTATTATACATAGAGTCATTAAACTCCTTGCCACTCATGAGTGGTGAATCAGGAGTACTGAATGCATTTATTTTGCGTAACTGTCTACACCGCCAAGGACTATGAGTGTTCTACATGCTATTAAAAGTAGAGTCCTTAGCATTTTTGGGTCTAATTATATTAAGCTGCCAACTCCAAAACCCAAAACTAACGAAATTTATCCTTAAAATTCTGTTCCTCTAGAACCACTCCCAGTACCAAAATCTGTACTATTCAGGCTTCTCAAAAGGGACCGAACTAATAGAATAGATGTATATATATGAAGGGTAGTATATTAAGGAGCATTGACTCACACAGTCACAGGAAGAATTTCCACAGTAGGCCATCTGCAAGCTGAGGAGTAAGGAAACCAGTCCGAGTTCCAAAATTTCAAAAGTAGAGAAGCTGACAGAGCAGGATTCAGTCTGTGGCCAAAGGCCCCAGAGCCCCTTGCCAACCACTAGTGTAAGTCCAACAGCCTAAAAGCTAAGAACTTGGGGTCTGATGTTTGAGGGAAGAAAGCATTCAGCACAAAAGAAAGATGGCCAGAAGACTCAGCAAGTCTGCTCATTCTACTTTCTTCCACCTGCTTTATTCTAGCTATGCTGGCAGCTGATTCTCTAGATGGTGCCCACCCAGATTCAGGGTGGGTCTGCCTCTCCCAGTCCATTGTTGACTTAAACGTTAATCTCCTTTGGCAACTCCCTCTCAGACACACCCAGGAACAATAATTTGCATCCTTCAATCCAATCAATTTAACACTCAATATTAACCATCAGTGTGAAAGATCTCTATAATGAAAACTATAAAATGCTGATGAAATAAATTGAAGAAGACACCAGAAAATGGAAACGCATTTTATGCACATGGATTGGAAGAACCAATATTGTTAAAATGCCCATACAACGCAAAGCAATCTATAGATCTAATGTAATCCCTATCTAAGTACAAATGGCATTCTTTACAGAAATAGGAAAAAAAAAACTAATTTATATGCAACCACAAAAGACCCAGAACAGGCAAAGCTATCCTAAGTAAAAGAACAAAACTGGAAGAATCACATTCTCTGACTTCAAATTATACTACAGAGCTATAGTAACCAAAACAGCATGGTACTGGCATAAAAACAAAAACATAGGCTAATAGAACAGAACAGAGAACCCAGAAATGAATCCACAAACCTATAGTGGACTCACTTTTGATACTTCTTCCCTACTGTACAGAAAAGACAGTCTCTTCAATAAATAGTGATGGGAAAACTTTATATCCATATGCAGAAGAATGAAACTAGACACCTATCTCTCACCATATACAATAATCAAATCAAAATATATTGAAGAATTAAATCTAGGACCTCAAAATGTGAAACTACTACAAGAAAACTTTGGGGAAAATCTCCAGGACATTGGCCTGGGCAAAAATTATTTGAGTAATACCACACAAAGCACAGGCAACAAAAGCAAAAATGGGCAAATGGGATCACATCAAGTTAAAAAGCTTCTGCACAGCCAGGGAAACAATGAACAAAGTGCAGAGCCACAGAATGGGAGAAAATATTTACAAACTAGTTATCTGACAAAGATTGATAATGAGAATGTATAAGGAGCTCAAACAACTCTAAAGGAAAAAATCTGATAAACGGATTTTAAAAATGGACAAAATATTTAAATAGACATTTCTCAAAATAGACATAAAAACACTAAACGAGCATTTTAGAAGGTGCTCAACTTCACTGATAATCAAAGAAATGCAACTCAAAACCACAATGAGATATCTTACACCAATTAAAATGGTTTATATTCAATGATAGGCAATAACAAAGGCTGGTGAGGATGTAGAGAAAAGGGCATACTGGTACGTTGTTGGTGAAAATGTAAATTAATATACTCACTATGGAGAACAGCTTGAAAGTTCTTCAAAAAACTAAAAATAGAGTTATTATATAATCTAGCAATCTCAATGCTGGTATATTCCCCAAAGAAAGGAAATCAGTATGTCAAAGAAATATCTGTACTCCCATGTTTGTTGCAGCACTACTTACAGTAGCCAAGATTTGGAAACAAGCTAAGAGTTCTTCAATAGATGAATGGATAAAGACAATGTGATACTTATACATAATGACTACTATTCAGCCATAAATAATGATATCCTGGCCAGGCACAGTGGCTCAGGCCTATAATCCTAGCACTTTGGGAGGCCAAGGAGGGCGGATCAACTGAGGTTGAGAGATCGAGACCAGCCTGACCAACATGTAGAAACCTTGTCTCTAATAAAAATACAAAAATTAACTGGATGTGGTGGTACATACCTGTAATCCCAGCTACTCGGGAGGCTGAGGCAGGAGAATCGCTTGAACCTGGA
Source organism: Homo sapiens (assembly GCF_000001405.40). Classification (NCBI taxonomy): domain Eukaryota; kingdom Metazoa; phylum Chordata; class Mammalia; order Primates; family Hominidae; genus Homo; species Homo sapiens. The sequence goes on from NT_187536.1 coordinate 54,274, forward strand.
AGGCGGAGGTTGCACTGAGCAGAGATCGTGCCATTGCCAGCCTGGGCAACAAGAGTGAAACTTCGTCTCAAAAAAAAAAAAAAAAAAAAAAAGATATCCTGTTCGTTGCAACAACATAAATGGAACAGAAAGTTATTTATTTCCAATATGGATGGAACAGAAGGTGATTATGTTAAGTGAAATAATTCAGGCACAGAAAGACAATCATCACATATTCTCGCTTATTTGTGGGATCTAAAAATGAAAACAATTGAATTCACAAAGAGACAGAGTATAAAAATGGTTACTAGAGGCTGAGAAGGGTAGTGGTGGGGATGGAGGGCAGGTGGGAATGGTTAGTGGGTACAAAAAAAAAGAATAAATAGCACCTAGTGTTTGATGTCACAACAGGGTGACTATAGTGAATGATAATTTAATTTTACATTTTAAAATATCTAAAAGGGTGCAATTGGATTTTTTAATATAAAGGATAAATGCTTGAGGGAATGGTTACTCCATTTTCCATAATGTGATGATCATACATTGCATGCCTTTATCAAAGCATCACACATACTCTGTAAATATCTACACCTACGGCCGGGCGCGGTGGCTCACGCCTGTAATCCCAGCACTTTGGGAGGCCGAGGCGGGCGGATCACGAGGTCAGGAGATCGAGACCATCCTGGCTAACACGGTGAAACCCCGTCTCTACTAAAAATACAAAAAATTAGCCGGGCGTGGTAGCGGGCGCCTGTAGTCCCAGCTACTCGGGAGGCTGAGGCAGGAGAATGGCGTGAACCCGGGAGGCGGAGCTTGCAGTGAGCCGAGATCGCGCCACTGCACTCCAGCCTGGGCGACAGAGCGAGACTCCGTCTCAAAAAAAAAAAAAAAAAAAAAAAAAAAAAAAAAAAATCTACACCTACTAAATATGGATAAATATTAGAAATAAAAAGAATGTTCAAATAACAATTTTTCAAAACGATTAAAATGTTAGACATTTAATACATATATGCACTTATGAACGGATATAAATTTTACAATAAAACCAGATATCTTGTGGTGCTAACCTGTCCTTAATGTCCAATAATAGCGATGGCTGGAAAACTCTCACAAAACAAATCAAGATCACTAAACATTTATGTACACATACGATAACCACAGAATTATTTATAACAAGCAAATTCTTGTGAAATAAACTATGTTTAACAGAAGGCAACAATGTAATAAATTATATTCTCTCTCTATATATATATATAGATTTGTATAGATATATACACACACAGTGGACTATTATGCCATACTAATATTTTACTTTTTATAAAATATAATAAGCTGTTCCTTATATTTTGTTATGTCATTGAAAAGTTTGAGTTTATGTATCACCAGCCTAAATTATTCAGACAATGGAAACCTTTACTAAGTAGAGATTATGCAAACATTTAATTTGATATGTGAATTTCAACATGAATGAAGAAAATACATGAAATCCAATGTGTGTGCATATATATATACACTATATATATAATATATATTATACAATATATATGTAATACACATCTCTTTTTCCACCCAATAGGCTTTCAAGTACTTAAAATGAAAGTATATGTCAGACTTGGTGGTGCAGGCTTATAGTCCAGCTACTTGAAAGGTTGAGGTGGGAGGATTGCTTGAGTCCAGGAGTTTGAGTCCAGCCTGTGCAACATAACAAGATTGTGATTATTATGCATTGCATGCCTGTGTATTTTTTAGAAACTGTGTCCTCAAAAAAATTAAAGAAAATAAAATGAAGACATATAAATTGCTCAGCTATAGGCAAGAGATGACTAAAGACAAGCACAAACACTGCTAAAAATTTGATATACAAAAGATAGGTTTATGCCCTCATGAAACTCATCATTCATGGAAAACTCAGGGAGTAAACAAACACATTAGAATAAAATACAGGAAATATTTGAAAGACTAATAGATGACACCAATTCCCAGTACTCACAAAGCTGACAAGTTGTTATGGGTCTGAAAGCACCACTACAGATTCTCCAAAGTTTTAAAATTTTGCATATGCTAGGAATTTGAGTAGACATATTGCAAAATCATATTCCATATAGAAGAACCAGGTCTTAATGAAATAAGAACCTGAATCTAAATCATTCCAGTGGAAATAAATTAAATTTTCAGCTAAGTAAAGCAATGCATGAAAGAAACATTTCTCCAACAAGTGAAACTCAAAGATGCAGTTTGAAAATACTATTTTCTAATTTTTTTGAAACCTTGGTAGTCATTCTGATAGTTGCTTCAGAGTAGCCAAGTGAAGGGTTTAGAAATAGGTTTCAGTTATACAAATAAGTATGTTAATGTATATATAGTTTTTTGGTGGTAAAAAAGACAACTTGAAAAAACAACTGCAAATAAGAAAAGATTCTTAACTATCATTATGAAGAAAAAATATCCCATTCCAAGTTTCTAAAGCGCACCTAGTATATTTTAGTAAAATATAATGTATTATGATATTTACTCTCATCAAATTTAACACATTTGGTGGAATCTTTCAAAAATAAAACAGAACAAAGCAAAAATAGGCAGGCAGAGCAGGTGTTGGCATGTTAAACTTTTCCAATAAATCTCATTGCAGTGCAAATTTACATTCTACTGCTGTATATATAAGTGATAATTTGGACAGATGTTTAACTGACTTTGCTTATTAAAATTCACCATAAATGAACTGTCAAATTCAAATTGCTCTAAGCACAAAAGCCAACAAAGTCAAAGTAACTAATGCTAAAAAGATTACTGAGTCTTCATGAGTGAAAACATCAAAAATAGTTAAGTGAAGGGTAGCCTTCTCTGTGACAAATAAGGCAAATAATTACCTGAATTTGACCTTCTACATACTTCTTTTAAGAATGTCTATTTTTCACAACATACCAGAATCTCTGGGACACATTCAAAGCAGTGTGTAGAGGGAAATTTATAGCACTAAATGCCCACAAGAGAAAGCAGGAAAGATCCAAAATTGACACCCTAACGTCACAATTAAAAGAACTAGAAAAGCAAGAGCAAACACATTCAAAAGCTAGCAGAAGGCAAGAAATAACTAAAATCAGAGCAGAACTCAAGGAAATAGGACACAAAAAAACCCTTCAAAAAATTAGTGAATCCAGGAGCTGGTTTTTTGAATGGATCAACAAAATTGATAGACCGCTAGCAAGACTAATAAAGAAAAAAAGAGAGAAGAATCAAATAGACACAATAAAAAATGATAAAGGGGATATCACTACCGATACCGCAGAAATACAAACTACCATCAGAGAATACTACAAACACCTCTACGCAAATAAACTAGAAAATCTAGAAGAAATGGATAAATTCCTCAACACATACATCCTACCAAGATTAAACCAGGAGGAAGTTGAATCTCTGAATAGACCAATAACAGGATCTGAAATTGTGGCAATAATCAATAGCTTACCAACCAAAAAGAGTCCAGGACCAGATGGATTCACAGCCGAATTCTACCAGAGGTACAAGGAGGAACTGGTACCATTCCCTCTGAAACTATTCCAATAAACAGAAAAAGAGGGAATCCTCCCTAACTCATTTTATGAGGCCAGCATCATCATGATACCAAAGCCTGGCAGAGACACAACAAAAAAAGAGAATTTTAGACCAATATCCTTGATGAACCTTGATGCAAAAATCCTCAATAAAATACTGGCAAACCGAATCCAGCAGCACATCAAAAAGCTTATCCACCATGATGAAGTGGGCTTCATCCCTGGGATGCAAGGCTGGTTCAACATACACAAATCAATAAATGTAATCCAGCATATAAACAGAACCAAAGACAAAAACCACATGATTATCTCAATAGATGCAGAAAAGGCCTTTGACAAAATTCAACAACCCTTCATGCTAAAAACTCTCAATAAATTAAGTATTGATGGGACGTATCTCAAAATAATAAGAGCTATCTATGACAAACCCACAGCCAATATCATACTGAATGGACAAAAACTGGAAGCATTCCCTTTGAAAACTGGCACAAGACAGGGATGCCCTCTCTCACCACTCCTATTCAACATAGTGTTGGAAGTTCTGGCCAGGGCAATTAGGCAGGAGAAGGAAATAAAGGGTATTCAATTAGGAAAAGAGGAAGTCAAATTGTCCCTGTTTGCAGATGACATGATTGTATATCTAGAAAACCCCATTGTCTCAGCCTAAAATCTCCTTAAGCTGATAAGCAACTTCAGCAAAGTCTCAGGATACAAAATCAATGTACAAAAATCACAAGCATTCTTTTTTTTTTTTTTTTTGAGACGGAATCTCGCTCTGTCGCCCAGGCCGGACTGCGGACTGCAGTGGCGCAATCTCGGCTCACTGCAAGCTCCGCTTCCCGGGTTCACGCCATTCTCCTGCCTCAGCCTCCCGAGTAGCTGGGACTACAGGCGCCCGCCACCGCGCCCGGCTAATTTTTTGTATTTTTAGTAGAGACGGGGTTTCACCTTGTTAGCCAGGATGGTCTCGATCTCCTGACCTCATGATCCACCCGCCTCGGCCTCCCAAAGTGCTGGGATTACAGGCGTGAGCCACCGAGCCCAGCCAATCACAAGCATTCTTATACACCAACAACAGACAAACAGAGAGCCAAATCATGAGTGAACTCCCATTCACAATTGCTCCGAAGAGAATAAAATACCTAGGAATCCAACTTACAAGGGACATGAAGGACCTCTTCAAGGAGAACTACAAACCACTGCTCAATGAAATAAAAGAGGATACAAACAAATGGAAGAACATTCCATGCTCATGGGTAGGAAGAATCAATATCGTCAAAATGGCCATACTGCCCAAGGTAATTTATAGATTCAATGCCATCCCCATCAAGCTACCAATGCCTTTCTTCACAGAATTGGAAAAAACTACTTTAAAGTTCATATGGAACCAAAAAAGAGCCCACGTCACCAAGTCAATCCTAAGCCAAAAGAACAAAGCTGGAGGCATCATGCTACCTGACTTCAAACTATACTACAAGGCTACAGTAACCAAAACAGCATGGTACTGGTACCAAAACAGACATATAGATCAATGGAACAGAACAGAGCCCTCAGAAATAATGCCACATATCTACAGCTATCTGATCTTTGAGAAACCTGAGAAAAACAAGCAATGGGGAAAGGATTCCCCATTTAATAAATAGTGCTGAGAAAACTGGCTACCCATATGTAGAAAGCTGAAACTGGATCCCTTCCTTACACCTTATACAAAAATTAATTCAAGATGGATTAAGGACTTACATGTTAGACCTAAAACCACAAAGACCCTAGAAGAAAACCTAGGCAATACCATTCAGGACATAGGCTTGGGCAAGGACTTCATGTCTAAAACACCAAAAGCAATGGCAACAAAAGCCAAAACTGACAAATGGGATCTAATTAAACTAAAGAGCTTCTGCACAGCAAAAGAAACTACCATCAGAGTGAACAGGTAACCTATAAAATAGGAGAAAATTTTCGCAACCTACTCATCTGACAAAGGGCTAATATCCAGAATCTACAATGAACTCAAACAAATTTACAAGAAAAAAACAAACAACCCCATCAAAAAGTGGGCAAAGGATATGAACATATACTTCTCAAAAGAAGGCATTTATGCAGCCAAAAAACACATGAAAAAATGCTCACCATCACTGGCCATCAGAGAAATACAAATTAAAATCACAATGAGATACCATCTCACACCAGTTAGAATGGCAATCATTAAAAAGTCAGGAAACAACAGGTGCTGGAGAGGATGTGGAGAAATAGGAACACTTTTACACTGTTGGTGGGACTGTAAACTAGTTCAACCATTGTGGAAGTCAGTGTGGTGATTCCTCAGGGATCTAGAACTAGAAATACCATTTGACCCAGCCATCCCATTACTGGGTATATACCTAAAGGACTTTTAATCATGCTGCTATATGTCTTTATAGACACGTGCACACATATGTTTATTGCAGCACTATTCACAATAGCAAAGACTTGGAACCAACCCAAATGTCCAACAATGATAGACTGGATTAAGAAAATGTGGCCCATATACACCATGGAATACTATGCAGCCATAAAAATGATGAGTTCATGTCCTTTGTAGGGACATGGATGAAATTGGAAATGATCATTCTCAGTAAACTATCGCAAGGACAAAAAACCAAACACCGCATGTTCTCACTCATAGGTGGGAATTGAACAATGAGAACACATGGACACAGGAAGGGGAACATCACACTCTGGGGACTGTTGTTAAGTGGTGGGATGGAGGAGGGATAGCATTAGGAGAAATACCTAATGCTAAGTGATGAGTTAATGGGTGCAGCACACCAGCATGGCACATATATACATATGTAACTAACCTGCACATTGTGCACATGTACCCTAAAACTTAAAGTATAATAATAATAAAAAAATAGAATGTCTATTGTGTACATAAATAAGAAAGAAAAAGTGTATATCTATGTCTGTCTGTTTAGTTTATTTGTTTGCTTCTGAGACATGTCAGAATTTTCTCTTTCCATATGACAGGGAACATGTCTTCCTCATGTATTTACATATAAGGAAGGGACTTTTTACTCCATTTTAGGAAAGGACAGCAGAAGAGAAATATTCCAGCATCTCCAAGGCTCCTATTTTTCCTAGAAAAAGGAGTGATTTTTCTGATTATTACATTTGGGAGAGAAAAAATAATATGATGATTCTGCTTTTGGGAGTGCTCTCTTCGGATTCAGTCTATCTACAAAACTCTCTGTGTGATCTGCTGGTGACAGTCAGTTGTCCGGCACCACCTGTGGCATGGTAGGACTCTCGTCTGGAGTTCACACATATTTGGCTGCATGTCCATTCTACCTTTGCCAGTTTAGTCTTACCAGTAATAAAGCTAAATTTTGAGTCTAGCTCCAAAGTAATTCCAAATGTGAGCCATTTTTTATCTGTCTCTAATCTCAGTGTAGATGATGGCAAAACAAGACAGCAATTCTATCAATTAAATCTCTTCTTTGAAATTGAAATAACATATGAAGCAAATTTGACTTATTCAATTCTTCACTTTTGATCTCACATAATTCTGTTTATATAATCATTTTATATACATTACATTACTGTATTGTATACATTTTATATAATCATTTTAAATACATTACATTACTGTATTGTATACATTTTGTCTATTTCTTCTTTGATTTTGTTTTTGTTTTTATAATTATTTCAGGTGTGGGGAAAAATTCTGTCCCTGATACTCCATCTTGTCCAGAACTGGAAGAGCTCATTATTTCTTTATTTGTACTGTTTTTATCTATTCATCCATAGTGTTCTCAACAGAGCTATCAAAAGTATTATCAAAAAACTTTTGATAATATTTACCAAATATCCAAACACATTCGATAATTTATTCATTAAATTTAATTTTCTAGAAATCTCCTTCATTCTCCTGATTCAATCTGGTCTGGTCCTTTTCCAGGCCTGTTTTATGACATTCTTTCTGAAATTTTTATCTCTGCCCTCTTACGTAAAACTTTTATTTGCTGAATACTATAACATCCTAACTGTAGGTTAACTTTCTTGTTTATTTTTTTCTTTTTTTTCTGAATCACAGTTTGTCTCATATATGAAAAGTAGTTTTAGGAGGTCTTTAATATCTAAAAGAATTACTGCTTCATCTATAGTGTTCTAAGAACAAATCACCCTTTCATAATTTTGGAGCATTGTTCTGTTTTCTTTTTTTTTTTCTTTTTCTTTTTTCTTATTTTGCCACAGATGGGTAAGAATTTTATTCCATTCATGACTCTCAAGTGCAAGGAGCTTCAAGTTATTTTTCATCTAAGAGTTTCATAGTTTTAGCTCTTACATTTAGGTCTTTAATCTATTTATAGTTAAATTTTGTATGATAATAAGGTAAGGGTCCAACTTCATTATTTTGCATATGAATATCTACTTTTCCCAACATGATTTGTTTTTTTGTTTTTTGTTTTTAATTATACATTAAGTTTTAGGGTACATGTGCGCAACGTGCAGGTTAGTTACATATGTATACATGTGCCATGTTGGTGTGCTGCACCCATTAACTCCTCATTTAACATTAGGTATATCTCCTAATGCTATCCCTCCCCCCTCCACCCACCCCACAACAGGCCCCGGTGTGTGATGTTCTGAGAAATCTAACAATTTACCATCACCTGATTAATTATATATAATTTGATTTAGTTTCTATGTATAAATGCCCTCCTCACTGTTTACTTTATAACTTTTTTTCTATTTTCATGATATTGTATATTGTTTTCTTTTTGTGTATCTGAAATTCAAACTTCACTGGGCCTCCTGTATTTTTATTTGTTAAATCAGGCAACCCTATGCTAGTGTGGCTATACTGTCACTCAGATTCAATCTCTTCAGGTAGTAAAAAACTTCCTTTAATCTCCCATGTAATATGTAAATTGGCACATGGAAAAATGACTTGCAGAGAGTGGAAGAGAATCAACAGGCAGATGAGATAATCTCTATGCTGCACGCTCCTAACTTTGGTGTACAAAATTTTCACCTAATCACCTAATATTTAAACTCTTTGTTTATCCCTGCTTCCTATGATAAGTGGTGCTTCAAAATCCTGTAAATATAGTGTTCTACAATTCAAGTTAATGTTCAATATCCCCCTATAGCTATGATCCCCGTTTTACTGTCATTTATCACTCATTCTTTCATCTTCTACATCTTTCCAAAAGTTGTTGAAATTTATTTCCCTTTTCTTTAGGCTCTTATTTTAGTTCTAAGGGTTTCTACCACTTTATTATCACTTAACTAGGAGTTTGGAAGGGATATATGTTAAACAGATGATAAATCTATAGGTTTTATCAGAAGTTGAATAAATGGGATTAGACATGAACTGGTTATAGATAAAATAAGTAGAAGAAACTCAAATATTCCAATATTTCCTCTAAATTATGGTTGTCCAACACATCTACAAAGGCCCTTATTCAGAGAGTATAATAAAGATTTGTCATGCTCAGCAGCAACCCTCAACATGGAGTAAACCTCTTGGCTTTCACATAGCACAAGTAAGATTGGACCGACAACTCTCAATGAGCTGAATATAATGATGAGCCCTGATTCTGTCAGTGCAAATGGGTCATACATAAAAATTAAAGAAATATTAAGTCTTTTATGAATGGAAGCCTGGTTCTACTAACTGCTGTATTAAGTGAAGCATTTGGAAAATATGCATTTAAAAGATAGGGTATAGAAGTTCCACTTGAACCATGATAGTGTGAGGAGCTCCATAAACTCACTCCCCAGTGAAACAGGTGAAAATTATATATAAAACAAAACCATTTATCTGGAAATGAACTTAAGTTCATAGCAATAATAAAGAATATTTGTTTAATAAAATCTAAAACTCAGTAGGAATTGTGAGAGTATGTTGGATCTTAATCAACACCTGTAGCATTCCATTTCCCTTCCAACTCGGTAAAACAGAAGCTCCACTTCAGATTAGTTAGACAGTAAGATAGGGCTTCCTCTCTCCCAACTTCCAGTCAGAGGTCTATTTACCCAGAAGAGGTAGAACTTCAGCATTTAATTTCCTGCCCTAACTCCCTGTTGCTAAACATAAGTTCTGGAGAGTGAAGCTAAGAGGTGGAGGCTGCTTGCTTCTGCCCAGCGTCCACTTGTGAGACAGAGGCTTTACTTACGCTGTGCTGCCAGTAAGAATATTAAAACTCTGAGAGTGATTTTTCTGACTAATGGCGTAAGGGTTTCATGCCAAAATGGGCAAACTGAGGAGGTCTAGGCCTGTGTTTCCCCCATCCACTGAGCAATCAACAACTAAATTAAGGGTGTCAAATAGAGAGAAATATGTTATTTTCCCATTTTCAGCATCAGAATAATGGCTTATAGATTTTTCCTAAGTAAGTCATAGAACAGAGAGCACAAACACCTCCCCAAAGGATTGACTTTCTTTGCAAAAGAACATGAAGAAATTCAAGCCTAGGGACACTCTTTAAAACAGTAGAAGCTGTAGTTAAAAGAAAAGTGATTTAGAAAGAATTCTGATTTCATCAGAGATATAAGCTAATCTGTAGGCCTATAACATATAAAAACATATATTTACTACTAACCATCTATATTTACTGTAACATGTATTTACTAATAAAGAAGAAAGGTGGGAGAAAAACTATATGGTAGTGTGTTTTATGTGGCAAAGTGATAAGGTTTATGCATAAATATTAACCTAAATACTCTTGGCTCCTGGGAGATTTATAAACAAACTTTAAGAGAATGAGTTACAGACTAAGAACATGCATTTGAGACACCAAATTGCACTGAGAAAAGTATTCTGTCTTATTTGTGCCATTACACATGTTAGACTCATTTGTTTCAGAAACTAGTTTCTTTAACCAATATGTAAATTATTTATACCGACACACATTTTAGAGTGTATTGGCTGTTGGTGTACCATGACACATATTAGACTGTTGATTGTACCATTCCACATGTTACAGTTATTTGTTTCAGGCATTAGAGTCTATTTAACCAACAGAGAACTAATTTGATGGTAAGGTGCTGCCATAACTGATATAGATATAATTAGCTAAACAGTTTAATGATGATCTGCCAAGAAATTGATGTCAGCAGTTAGAAAACTAAAGTCCTTTTTTATGCAGAGACAGCACAGTTGGTAAAATTTTTATAGTTGACAAGTTGGAAAGCAGTGCATGTCTCTGACAAGACTTCAGCTCTGTGGGAAGTGTTTGGAAAGAAATGGAGTGATAGTGTTTGTTGGCATTTATTTTCTGCTTTTACTACAGTACTAAACAAGAGAGATGAGCTCAGGCACAGAGAAGAATTGACAGTTTCCAGACAGAAATGTAAGAGAACAAATTCCAGAAATGTGTGGCTTCACAAGATTAGAAAACCAACCTTCTTGTAGGCCCCAAATCTAGTAAAAATGCACCAATGTTTGGGTGATAATATTAAGTTTCCTGTTAAACAAGATCATTTTGTCTTCTGATAAAGTGCAAGCCTTTGTACTCAAGCTTATATTTTTAGGTGGCCTTATGTTAAATGAGAGTGAATAGGCTGAATAAGTTGAGAAACAAAGCAAACTTGAGACTTGGGTCTAGAAAAAGAAAACTAAGTGAGGTCACTGTAATATAGACATTTCTAGAAGCAAACTGATCAGAAGTCTGCTTTTTTTTGAAGAAATTGTTTTATCAAGGACACCAAGAGATTAACATAATAGTGGCTTTGTCTATTTAAGCATTAAACTACTGTTTTGTCACTAAACTTTCAGCAGCAAAATATAAGTAGTTGAAAGGTGTACAGCCACTTGAAAGGGCATTCTTCCCTGTAATCACTTCGATGATGCATTGGAGGATGATGAGCAAGACAGGACTTCACAAAGGTGCAAACACCCACTCACATATGCTCAAAAACACACATGCACACACTCACACACACACGCACTCACATAGGCGACACTGTAGATCATTGACAAGCTGTTCCTACCAACAGAACAAAATCAGTCTTATTAAGGAAGCTCCCCATCCACAATGAAGGAAGCTTTCACAAATGCTGCTGAAGTGGTTTGGCTCTGTGTCCCTACCCAAATCTCATGTCAAATTGTAATCCCCATGTGTTGAAGGTGAGGCTTGGTGGGAAGTGATTGAATCATGGGGATGGTTTCTAATCGTTTAGCACCATCCCTCTAGTGCTGTCTTGTGACAGAGTTCTTACAAGGTCTGATTGTTTAAAAGTGTGTGCACTTCCCCCTCGCGGTCACTGTCTCTTGACCTGCCATGGTAAGACATTGTAAGTTTCCTGAGGCTTCCCAGTCATGATTCCCATTAAACCTGTGGAACTGTGAGTCAATTAAACCTTTTTTCTTCATAAATTACACAGGCTCAGTTAGTTCTTTAAAACAGTGTGAGAATGGAATAATACAAGTACTCAGCAGGATTTCATAACTGTAATAAACCAGTGATTGCTGTGTAAAATTTCCAGTCTCTACTATTCAGAAAGGGAGTTTTGTCATGGTCATTTTCTCAATGTTTAGCATTATATGGAATGGGTAGGGCCCATGGCTTTTCTTTTTAGTTCATAGCTTGAACATTTATGGGGAGACTTGGGATTGTGTGATAGTCATTAAGACCTGACATATAATGCATTTCTCCTTCTTTTAGGCACAATCTTCTGTACAATTTTTGAAGTTAGCACTGATAACTGATTTGGTGTAGCTGCTTAAGTATTGGTGGAAATTATGTGAGTTCCATGTTCTCCTCACCAAACATGGTAATCATAGAAGTATATACCCTAATGGAGATTTCATTTATCTGCCTTAGTAAATAATCACAGAAATCAAAGCCCTCTGCTGCACTGTGTTGGGCAGGTATTGTGATTGAGAAATATATGTTGATGGCATTTAGCCACTGATATATTGCCATTGTCTGTTAGTTACCATAACCTAGATTATTCTCATTGATTAAGTGTCCCTTAAAAATTAAATAACTGTTATCCATATGGGAAGTAAGGTGTCTGGAAAACCGACCTGGAAAATCAGAGAGGAAACTGAATAGCTGGTCATTTTACTGTTTTCCTCCTGCTCTGTTTACACAGTTGGACTAAAGTTCCCAGTTTCTCTTCCACTTAAGTGTGGTCACATGACTTTATAGTCTTCGAAATGTGAATAAAAATTATGTGTTCCACTTACATGATGATTCATGTTTGATCATCATATAATTCTCTTTTCCATCAGACAGCTGTATGCAAAGTAGTACAAAGAACTTTTAAGCCACATGTTAAGGTGGAGAAGGCAAGGATAGATTAATGCTGGGTATTTTATTCACAGCTTGGAAAAGGGCTTCTTGTCAATTAGGAATACCTGCTTGGAATCTTAGTGGTGCATAGCAGATTTTTGTGACATTATTTTTGCAGAAGCTAACATTACCTTATCTCCTCACTATCCCCTCCTTCCATCCAACATACCTACCAGGAAAATTAATGTACTACTTGATTAGATTGATTTTAAGATGATAAAAAGACAGAGGTGAATTGACAAAACATTAGCCTATTTGAAAAATTAATTAAATTTGAAGAGAGATAATCCTTTACTTTAATCAGTGGTGGAAAAGTAAAGGGAACACATATCAAGTTCTTTCTTTCCCTTTTTGAAATCAAGTAACTGAAGCACGATGCAGTTATTTATAAGATTTGGAGGAGGAGAGGCGCTCTGCTTTTTAGAGTTTCCAGTTTTTCTGCTCTGTTTTTTCCCCATTTTTGTGGTTTTATCTGCTTTTGGTCTTTGATGATGGTGATGTACAGATGGGTTTTTGGTGTGGATGTCCTTTCTGTTTGTTAGTTTTCCTTCTAACAGACAGGACCCTCAGCTGCAGGTCTGTTTATGTAGAAAGCTGAAACTGGATGCCTTCCTTATACCTTATACAAAAATTAATTCAAGATGGATTAAAGACTTAAACGTTAGACCTAAAACCATAAAAACCCTAGCACAAAACCTAGGCATTACCATTCAGGACATAGGCATGGGCAAGGATTTCATGTCTAAAACACCAAAAGCAATGGCAACAAAAGACAAAATTGACAAATGGGATCTAATTAAACTAAAGAGCTTCTGCACAGCAAAAGAAACTACCATCAGAGTGAACAGGCAACCTACAGAATGGGAGAAAATTTTTGCAGTCTACTCATCTGACAAAGGGCTAATATCCAGAATCTACAATGAACTCAAACAAATTTACAAGAAAAAAACAAACAACCCCATCAAAAAGTGGGCAAAGGATATGAACATATACTTCTCAAAAGAAGGCATTTATGCAGCCAAAAAACACATGAAAAAATGCTCACCATCACTGGCCATCAGAGAAATGTAAATCAAAATCACAATGAGATACCATCTCACACCAGTTAGAATGGCAATCATTAAAAAGTCAGGAAACAACAGGTGCTGGAGAGGATGTGGAGAAATAGGAACACTTTTACACTGTTGGTGGGACTGTAAACTAGTTCAACCACTGTGGAAGTCAGTGTGGCGATTCCTCAGGGATCTAGAACTAGAAATAGCATTTGACCCAGCCATCGCATTACTGGGTATATACCCAAAGGACTATAAATCATGCTGCTATAAAGACACATGCACACGTATGTTTATTGCGGCACTATTCACAATAGCAAAGACTTGCAACCAATCCAAATGTCAGACAATGATAGACTGGATTAAGAAAATGTGGCACATATACACCATGGAATACTATGCAGCCATAAAAAATGATGAGTTCATGTCCTTTGTAGGGACATGGATGAAATTGGAAATCATCATTCTCAGTAAACTATCACAAGGACAGAAAACCAAACACCGCATGTTCTCACTCATAGGTGGGAATTGAACAATGAGAACACATGGACACAGGAAGGGGAACATCACACTCTGGGGATGGTTGTGGGGTGGGGGGAGGGGGGAGGGATAGCATTAGGAGATATACCTAATGCTAAATGATGAGTTAATGGGTGCAGCATACCAGCATGGCATATGTATACATATGTAACTAACCTGCACGTTGTGCACATGTACCCTAAAACTTAAAGTATAATAAAAAAAAAAGATTTGGAATTAGTAACCTTCAAAAAGGGAAATAATGCATATTATTTCTTTACTTATCTGATCTATTTACATATAGCTGAAGTAAAGTTATTTATTTATTTATTTATTTTTTTTTTTATTTATTGAGAATGGAGTATCACTCTGTCACCAGGCTGGAATGCAGTGGTGGGATCTCAGCTCACTGAAACCTCTGCCTCTTGGGTTCAAGTGATTCTCCTGCCTCAGCCTCCCACGTAGCTAGGACTACAGGCATGTGCCACCACACCAGGCTAATTTTTGTATTTTTAGTAGAGACATGGTTTCACCACGTTCGCCAGGATGATCTCTATCTCTTGACCTTGTGAGTTGCCCACCTCAGCCTCCCAAAGTGTTGGGATTACAGGCATGAGGCACCACGCCCGGCCATAGAGTGATTTCTTAAGTGAACACTGTCATGAGGCTGTAGCATTACTCAAGATCACAGAATTAATACAACCTGTAATGTAAACTCCATTCTTTAACCTCATAGCTTGCTTAGTTTTACCTTTTATAAGGATCAATATGGGAATATAAGATAAATATTGACATAGAAAATTATTTAAACCAAAAATTTGAGCTTCTCATAGCAAATTAAAGGTCCTGAAGTTAAAACAATTACAATCTTAAATTTTGAAAATTTGAAATATTTACTTTGAATATATTCATACTTTTAATGTTTATGTGACATATAAATTATTTGTGTGCTTAGAATATTTACTTTATAAAGTTTCACATGTTATCTTATGATATTTACTATATCATTATTTAATAAACTCCTTAATGTATGTTATAACTAATTTTGAACCTCAAAAATTATGAAAACCAATTATAAAAAGTATACATGCTAGAATATTAAATTTTATCATTGTTTATTTTTGAGGGTGGTGGCACTTGTTTGTTCACTGGAATTGAACTAGAAAGAAAATATATGACTGATTATTAGTATTAAATGTCACAACATCTGGATATTGATGCCATAGTCTATGAAATGTGACAGACAGTCAATACCTAAGAGACAATTCCACTTTGTATGAGGACGAGGAAAAAAGTTCCATATATATCTATTTAAGCAAGTCAAGATGATACATGACAACATGCAATACCAATTTTTATGCAGATATGAAGAAATGCAAACATAGAAAACATTTCCAAAAGTCATTTATGCCTAAAACAATTTAATAAAATGACATGTTCTTAACCTCTTCAAAGTTTTCAAAGTTTCTAAATGAATTTCTGTTGTACTATAATTTCTATTAAGATTAGAAAGAACAAGACATCACTGTCTGGCAAGCAAATTAGCTATAAGAATTTTTAAAATTAACACATAGTAATTGTACCTATTCATAGGTACAATGTAATGTTTCCATACATGCATACATTGTATGATGATCAAATCATTGCAATTGTTTGTTTATAATCTTAAATAATTATCATTTCTTTGTTCTGAGAACATTCAAAATCCTCTTTTCTAGTTAAGTTAAATATGGAATGCATTACTGTTAGCTGTAACCACCCTACTATGCAATATAATACCATAATGTATTCCTCCTATCTAACTGTAACATTCTGCTCCCTGACCAAAATTTCCTAATCTCCTCTGTCCTTTATTATTCCCAGTCTCTGATAATCACTATTACACTCTCAAATTTCATGACATCTTTTTAAAATAAAATAAAATAAAATAAAAGATTCCACAAGTGAGTGAGATCAGGCAATATTTGTCTTTCTGTGCCTGGCTTATTTCACCTAACATAATGTCCTCCAAACTAATTTATATTTTTTTTCAAATGACAGATTCCATCCATTTTATGGTTTAATAGAATTCCCTTGTAATTTCATTGTCTATATGTACCACATATTCTTTATCCATTAATCAATTCATGAACATTTAGGTTGATTCCATATCTTGGATGTTGTGGATAGTGCTGAAATAAACATGGAAATGCAAATATCTCTTCAATACACTAATTTTCCTTCTTCGGATATATACCAAGCACTGGGATTGTGGGATAGTATGATAGATCTATTTTTCATTTTCTTGTGGAACATTCATACTGTGCTTTATAATGGCTCTATTAATTTACATTCCCATCAACAGAGTCATAAGAGTACCCCTTTTTCTATATCCTTACCAGCATTTGATATGTGTTGTCTTTTAGATAATAGCCATTCTAACTGGGGTGAGGTGATATTTCATTGTAGGGGATCTACTTTGCCGTCTGAAAGTGCTCCACACTTTCTCTGATAATTCTTAATACTTTAATTAAAAAAGGTGATTAAATACATAACTCTCCTTGACATCCCATTGCCACCCATTGTCTTTTAATTCAACTAATAAAGATACTTAATATATAATCAGTTGCTTCTATCAAACTAAATTTAGAAAAAAAAATGTAAGTATGTGTGGAGGAGTAGGATATGGGAATTCGGCATTTAGAGAAAGCTGAAAAAACGTATACACAAAACACTTTTTAAAAATTATCGAGAAAGAGAGGCTAAAATTCTATAGAAAGTACATTCTGAATTTGTGGGTTTTCTTATTCCAAGTATGATGGCCTAAAGATCCAGAAATAGATTAAGCTTTATTGAAAGAGCTTATTGATTCAAAAATGAGACCAAATTGTAAAATCAAACGCAATTTTACTTTTAAGCACAGATTTTGCCGGACGTGAATAAGGCAAAAGCAGTGAACTAAACCTCAAACAGCCAGCTCTTATCTTTCTTACTTTATGGTAATTCCTTAAAGAAGGCAATAGGAATTGTATTGTAGATCAGACATGTGAAAATGAAGAAATATTATTATAAAGAGAAAAACAGAGATACAGAGAGAATATGTGTGTGTATGTGTATTCTTTTAAAAATATGTGTACCTCTTAAAATTGTGACTTGAATTCTTCTATAAATTTAGTAATTGCCATTTCCAGGATTACCTTGTGAAAACATTATTATGCTTGCAGACCAGAGCATGACGGCTGCATAGGAGGCTCCATTAATCATCCCATTGCAAAGACACAAATTAACAACTATCTACAGACACAAAATCACCTTCATAAGAACCAAAATTAGGCAAGCACTCAGAGTACCTGGTTCTAACTTTATATCACTGAAAGAGGCACTGAAGAGGGAAGAAAAGACAATCTTGAAATGCTGATGCTATCCCTCTCTCATCCCTTGACAGGTACCGCATGGCACAGAGAGAGAATTTGTGCACTTGGGAGAGTACATCACTTGTGAAACATTGCATTGAACACAGTCCTTCCCTGTCACAACAGAAAGCAAAACTGATCTGAACTCAGCTGGCACCCAACCAAAAAGAAAGTATTTAAACCAGCCCTAGCCAGAGGGGAATCAACCATTGCAATGGTCATAATTTCCATTCCCAGAAGCCTTTCCCCCATGGGTTAAAGTGCTGTGGGGCTCTAAATAACTCGAAAGGCATTCTAAGCCACAAGGCCTGCAACTCTTAGTTGAGTTCCAGTGCTGAACAGGGCTCAGAGCCAGTGGACATGAGGACATGCAACCTACTGCAACAACAGCAAGTGTGGCTAAGGGAGTGCTTGTGCCACCCCTCCCTGATACCCAGGCCACACAGCTCAGGGTGCCAAAACAGACCCATTTTTATGCTTGAGAAGAGGAGAGGAAAAAGGAAAGAAGACTTTGTCATGCATCTTGGATACCAGCTCAGTCACAGTAGGACAGGGCACTGGTCAGAGTGATGAGGCTCCATTCCAGGCTTTGGCTCCCAGATGACATTTCTAGACACAACCTGGGGTAGAAGGGAAGGTGCTGCTTTGAAGAAAAGAACTCAGTCCTGGCAGGAGCCATGACCTGCTGATTAAAAAGCCCTGGGTATTGACAGCACTATGAAGGTAGTATGCCATGGGCCTTGGGTGACACTCTGAGACTCCCTGGCTTCAGGTGAGACTCAGAACATTCCCAACTGTGGTGGCCATGGGGAGAGGCACCTTCTGCTTGGGAAAAGTAAAGGGGAATTTGTTTTGCACTGTAAGTACTATATTAGCCACAGAGGGGTAGAGCAGCAAGAGGGCTCTTGAGTCCCCATTTCAAGGTCTTGACTTTATGATGTCATTTCTGGACCTTCCCTGGGCCAGAGGGGAGCCTACTGTCATTAAGTGTGAGTCCTAGACCAGGTAATATTCACCACAAATTCACCAGAGAGCCCTTGGGCCTTAGCTGTAGCCTGGAAGTACTGTGGGCCTGTACTCTTCTGGTGGCGGCCATGGAATGAGGCTCCTCTGCCTGTGGAAAGGGAAGGGAAGGGTGGGAATGACTGTATCTTGTGGTTTGAGTGCCAGCTCAGCCATAGTACTATAGAACAACAGACATTCAAGGTTTTTGCCTGTAGTGTCTGGCTTACAAATGGCACTTCTTGACCTGCCTGTGCAAGGGGGAACTTGTTGCCCTGAAGGGAAGGACACAAGCCTGGTTGATTTCCCCATGTTTCGATTATTGAACCCAAGTGGCCACCTAGTATCTGCACAGCTCCGTGCTTGAGACTCAAGGCCCTGGTGGCTTGGGCTCACAAGGGGATTTCCTGATCCACGAGTTGCACAGATCTGTGGAAAAAGTGTGATTTCCTGGGTCAGGTAGCACAATCACTCACTGCCTCCCTTGGCTGGGGGTAGGAGCTCCCCTTGCCCCATGCAGCTCCCAGGTAGGCCATCACTCCACCCTGCTTTTCCTTGCTCTCCATGGGTCATGTCAACTGCCTAGTCAGTCCCAATTAGAGAACCTGGATTCCTCAGCTGAAGGTGCAGGGTTCACTCATCATTTCGTTCTTCTCAGTGGGAGTCCCTGACAGCAGCTACTTCTAGTCAGCCATCTTGGCCCCTTTTGAAATCTATTTTGTCCAATATAAACATAGCTATTCCTGAAATTTTTTGATCCATTGGCATGGAATATCCCTTTCAATCTCTTTGTTTTTGGTCTATGTGAATCTTTGTAGGTGGCATGTGTTTTCTGTAGGCAACAGATCATTGGGTCTCTTTTTTTAACTCATTCAGCCACTCTTGTCTTTTGATTGGATTATGTAGTCCATGTACTTTCAATGTTATTATTGACAAGTAAAGACTTACTCTTGCCATTTTGTCCTTGTCTCTGTTTTGTGGCATTTTCTTCCCCTTCTTTCTTAAATGCTCCCTCTTTGGGCAGGTATTAGCTGATTTTAGCCTGGCTTTACTTTCTGCCATTAGAGTGAAACACTGAGCTCAGTGTCTTAGAATTGACGTGCTCTCTTCCTCCCCAATGCATAAAAATGGTCTTCTTATTATGCCAAGGGATTAGCTAGAGATTGCATCAGCAATTCAGTCTTTTTTTTTTTTTTTCCTATCTCATTCAGTGCCTTTTTAAGCAATATGAAGTTAAAGTCTGGTACTTTGAGTACTCTCCTGATTTATTATTATGAAGCTTCCTTTATTGTGTAGATAGTTGTTAAATTGGCGTCCTTATGGTGAAGGAACGATTGTTGGAAGTTTCTATTCTACCATCTTGCTCTTCCTCTTCCTCTTGAGAAAGCTTCATGTAATATCTAATACTGCTTTCATTATTATGTTTGATAAGTTGACTTGTTATGACAGAGATAATAATGCTTATAACATCTAAAATATTTGCTAGCTGAGATATTACCAAAATATTTTTTTTTACCCCTGGATGACATTTAGGTGAATATATCTTATTCTTGAGGGTGAGCATGCCTTTTTTCTCCTAGGTTTTTAGTGTCAAAGTTTGTGTTACATAATGAGAAGTGTGGCTGTGTTTTAATTTTACTCTCTATTTTCTTTATGTTTTTCCTGTGGTCTGTATTCCAGAGAAAATCTGTCTATTTCAACAGTCATAGATATATGGAAATATTATTTTTACTTGATACTTACTAGCAAATTATAAAATATTCAAATAATAAAAAATGAAAATATTACAGGAAAATATATGTGCAACCCCCTAGCAATACGTTTGTTAAACTATAATAAATGGACATTTTCTCAATAAAATACAAATGATCAAAATTGAACAAGGAATTAGAAAATAAAGAAAAGGTTCTTTTCTGATGTTTCTGATGTTCTGAATACATCTTTGGTGGACATGAGAGCTTGGGTCTTAGAGGTGTGGCTTTCACCTGTGTTACTTTCCTTCCTCCGATAAAATTCTGGACCTACTACTTATTCCTGTTCCCCAAGAGTAGATATATTTTTCCCCCTGTCCTGCTTCTCTCAAGTATAATGGGTTTCCACCAGTGTTGAAAGCTTATAGCTTTGTTGACCCTTTCCCTTCAAATAATGGTTTGTTACTTAGAGGAGATAAGATGGTGAGTAAGAGTGAGACAGTTGCTGCTGGTCCCTTTGTCCAGCCAGCATAATGGGAGATGTTTTCTCAGAATGCTTTCCAATCTACTCTGTGATTGCTTGTTAGGGTTTCTGAAAGAAAATTCTATAAAGGGGTTTGAATCCCACTATGTGTCTTTGGCCCTCAGTGTCTTTTCCATTCTCATGCCACAGACTTTGTTTTAAGCAATTTGTAAAGTTTTCAAGCTAAATTTTCTAATGGATTATATAGTTCGTGAGTACATTCCAAGTAAACAAAAGCCAGAATACTTTTTCTCCTGTAGGCCCCTATCTCTTCATAGATTTTGAGTAAGTTGTTTACCCTGTTACCTCAGTTCTTTGACTGTTTCAAGTAAATTCATTAATTTTCACTTTACTGTCGTCTGTCTTTTCTTCTTTCTTTCTTTCTTTCTTTCTTTCTTTTCTTTCTTTCTTTCTTTCTTTTCTTTCTTTCTTTCCTTCTTTTTCTTTCACTTTATTTCTCTTCCACTTTATTTCTCTTTCTCTCTTTTCCTTTCTTTTCTTTACTTTTTTCTTTTTTATCTTGTCCTCTGTTTGTGAGGGTGTGAGGGACACTTTTCAGATCTCTATAGCATAGATAACAATTCCTCTGATTTTGCTTTTATAAAAATTCTAAAACAAGTAACTAATAGCTGGAATTTTTGAATTGTGGTCACTTTTGGAGAGGAAGAGGAAATAATGCATGAGGAGGGTTTTTATGTTGCTGTGTTCCTTTTCTTGATCTAAGTTCTGGGTGTATGAATTGTTTCTTTGTATTGATTAAATGGTAGCTTTATGTTTTATGTACTTGTTTGTGTGTGTGTTAACTTCTAATTTAAAATCTAAGAAATAAATTATAAGTAAATGAAGCCATGATAGTAAACCAATTATATATACATATAAAACCATTGATATTTTAAATCAAATACCTTTAAGCCATGTAAGCCATAATATTAAACTGAATATGTATATATTATATATAACTGAATATACATATATATAACTGAATATATATATAATATATGTATCAGTAATTATATATATAATCACTGATTTTTTAAATCAAATACATTTAATGAGTATTTTGCTTGACATTAATCTTCTATAATTGTAATGCTTACCATCATGCATCAGATAATATTTTTCTCCCGTTAAATTTTCTTTCTCCTTCAATATACTCATTAACTATTCTAAAGGTTAAGTCTTAAATAATTACATAATTTCTTTCCAGAAATTTAATCTTCAATAATTATTGTCATCTTTTAATAATCAATCATTTTTATTTAAAATCCCAGATTATTTTAAATAATTAAAGTACTTAACTGACTCCTAGATTTCAAAAGCTCTCTATATCTGTGAAGATATTTGAACTCCAACCTCTGAATATTTAGTCAAGGTTTTGAAGGATTAAAAATATTATATTAAATTATGCAGACATTCTTTTTTTAATATGCTTGTTACTGGTAAGCACATGTTCAAAATACACAGGCTGAAGTAAAACCAGCATTTATGTTTTTGTATCTTTGAGCTTTCCAATCTCTCTCTATATCCCAAATTCTTAAGCAAAATGAATGAGAACATTGTTTTAGAAATTGAAATTGAAATGTCACATATTTTATTTCCTTCAGCAATTCTTACGTGGAACACATTTACTGGCAAAAACAAAGTCATCTCTGTTAAGATAAGCATTTGAGCTGTCAGAGTCTGAATGATTATAGAGGACATAACTAATTTATGTGTCAAAAAGCTATTCTACTCTGCACCATCAACACCTATTATACACACTATTGGGGAATATAGCTAGCCCTACTGATGTATAGATTGATAATCAATGCCAGTCACATATGAGATAAATGATAGCTCTTTAAACTATTATGGTTGCAAAGTCATAATTTTTAGTCTATTCCCCTCTACTTTATCCACTGAGGAATATTTAGATAATACTCACAAGATGTGTTTATGCTTGCATGTATATACACACACAGAGACATATATATATATATTTGTTTGTATATACAATATTTAGAAATATGTATATTTTCATCAGTATTCTAGTATCTTGTTGGCTTATATTATATCACGGAGAAAAAAGAAAAGAAACAAAGTATACACATTATTTTTGATGGAAAAATTTATCCATTTATATTTAAACAGTACACCATGAGTTTCTGTTGTTCTGAATTTTCAATTTGAGGTAAGAAGGCCTGATGCATATTGCTGCTAGATCGCACATTTACTGCATCATGTGAAGGTGAAATATCAGCATACCAAAAAAGTCTATGAATTATTTAACCCACAAGTTAAAAAAAAGTAAGTTCCTAGAGCAATAATCTGATAAAGCAGAAATATATCAATATTATTCTTTAAAGAACAGCAAAGATTTTAAAACTGGTAGATAAATTTTAGGACTGATCAAGATCAAAATAAATATAATTCTGTAAATTAAAGCTTCATTGAAGTAGAAGAAGAAAACATGTTCTCCATATGAGAAGGAAAAACATCATAAAATTTATATATTTTATGTAAACACATAGGGTTCAGCAAGGATTATGAAATACATTAGCCATAATATTTTTATAATCACTTACACAGTCTTTCTCCTGCTTTAAGCTTTCTTATGTTAGTTTGTTCTCTCCACTCATTTTGGCCTTCCACTTCTCCTTTCTGCTGCCTTCCTGCTAATATAGAAATACCCTCTCTTAAGAGGACATCATTTAAAGTTTACTATGATACATATTTGAATACATTTTACTTTTTGTAATAAGTAAGACAGTTACAATGTGAATAATAAGAAAATAGGACAATAAAAGATGCCATATGGTAAATAATATTTAAATATCACCTCTTCATCTAGAAATATCTAATACTGTCTTACCTATTTTTTCCAGTTATTATTTTATTATAAGGTGTCTAGGCTTTTTAACCCAAAGTTGAGTCTCTCTGTTTAAAATTGGAGTTGTTTACTAAATGTTTTGTAAGACTTTCCTCTATTATCTTCTGTTATTTTCTATTTAAAAAATAAATATCTCTTGCTACTAGGAAGAAGGATATATTTACCTCATAGGTTTTGTTTTCTTTAGTTATGTCTGAAGATATTCAGTAAGTTACTCTCGGACACACATTAGATATATGGAAATTTAAAATGCAACTTATCAGAGTGTACTGCTCTAAATATTTTTAAGCATATTAAATGTAGCATACAGTTTGAATTTATTTAGTATTTTCATTGAGTATATTTGAAAAAACATAACAAAAGAATTTTTAAGTATTTTAGTAATCGTAATTTTAGATATAAAACATTTTTTTATAAACCAAAAAAACAGATTTTGTCAATCATCTAGGGGAAGGTATAGTAAAAGTTAGTTTATTTATGGCCTGTACTACTATTTTCTAAAGAAATATTTGTCTATTTTTTCTCTTTCTTATAACATTTACATGAAGAGGATTCTATTTCTAAAATAACTTTTTTATGATTAAAGAACAAACTAAGCTAATATCCAGAACAAATGATTATTGATCAATCATGTTTTGTTTACTGTTGGCATATAGAAATGCTGGTTTTGTACATTGATTTTGTATTCTGCTTGTGATGCATATTCTGAAAGTTAATTGTTTAGATAATGCTTTAATGCTGACTACATACCTATATTTCCTTAAAAGGATTGCCTTTTGCCTCTTTTACATGGCCCTTTTGGGAGTCCACCTCAGAGAACACTTTATAATGTTATCAGTTCATAATTGCAAAATCTGGAATCAAAACTGATAATCATTCTTAATAAAATAAATTTTAAAAAATCAAAGTAAACAAATATAAAAATGGAAAAAATGTTGCAGCTATAGTGCTCTATATAAAATCAGAAGCTGACTAAATTAACAAATAGCTATTTCATGGAGGAAGACTCGATTTCGTACTGCTTCTTGTCACACATTAGAAAATCTATTTTTATTTCAGATTAATGAAACTATAATGAGTTAAAAAGTTGTCAAAGAAAAATTGTACTGGGTGGAGTTAAATGAGTAACGAAGACTTAATTCAGGGCTATGTAATAGGGAAGAGAGACTGCTGTAATAGAAGAGAGAGATTAAACTCAATTCTGTTGAAACAAAATGTGGGATAGTTTTTAAGCCCTGAAGTAAGCCAGATAAGAAGTACTGGTGCACAAGGATGTTAGTGAAGAGGTTGGTCAATGTAATTAGGCCATCTGCATTTTCTTACGGGGGCTTATAAAATGAGCCTCCTACCCTTCCATTGAGACTGGGAGATTAGAGACCTATCTTTTTTCACGATTTCACTTCAAAACGATGGCTCCCAGGTCTTTAAGAAAGACATTCCCTAGTTTAATATCTGCAATGGCCCGAAAGATTTGTCTATATTTGAAAGGAGCATAGAAAATATTTACAAGGTTTCTAAAGTAAATGCTCTAAGAAAAGAGAGGTCAGAGGTTTATAGTCAAAAGGAAACCTCTTTGAAGTTTATTCAAGCCAAGGGTAACATTAAGTAATTATTTTAATTCATTACAAGCAGTTTACACCACCTAAATACAAGTACATATGCTAAATGTTGAATGGTAAGCAACTTTTGAAAAAAAATTACACATAAAAACTTAAAGAAAAATAATTTAAGCCATGAAATATGGCAGATACATGTCAGATGTTGCTCTTTTGTCACATAAAATTGCTAAATATTACCCTGTTGTTGCTTTTATTATTGAGTGGTTTTGTGTGGTTATTGCAAGGAAGAAGTAAAAAAAGCATGAATTTGAGTGGAATAGTCTATTTATTAGAACACTACAGTCAATTGTGTATATTTTCACTTGGTAAGTTCAATGCATCTGACATGTTTTCCTTTGAATGTATAGCAACATAAATGCTCATCAAAATCCTTTGAAATTTTATTAATCTGTAAATTAGAAGTGATGGGAAAGTGAAGAGATACATACATAGAAGATTTTTCATAGTATTTTCTAAAGTTGTCTTGGCAAGCTTGAAGAGCAAATGGCTGGGCAACCTAGGCATGGCAAAGAGCATGACATTAGCATGATGATGGAGTAAAAATTTGGCAAAATTCCTTCTTATCTTGAAAATAGCTTTATATCTAGTCTTTCATGACCTACATAGAATAACTTAACTCTGACAACTATCAGAAGTGAATACACAATTAAAGTAGCTTTTGTAAAACCAGCTTGAATGAAGGTAACTTTCACAGCAGGGTTGGAAAAGCATTTTCAAGGCAAGACAGAAGAGATTACGATTTGAATGGAATGGCGCAGTCATGCTTGGAGGAACAAAATAAGGTGATTTTTTTCCTTGGAAAATTTGGTGGTTAATGATATCAAAGTAAAAAAAAAGATAATAAACACATATCATTATTTAATGATGGCTTGTGTGTGAGAGGTTTGTATATGAGGTAAGTATCCAAAAATGAGTACTAATCAGATAAGACAAAACAGAAGCCAAGAGCATCCTAAGAAAGCAAACATGAGTAGTAATGCAAAATTTAAATATGATAGAATATCTGGGAACTACATGTACATTAAAATAGGGAAATCAGATACAGAGCAGTAGAAAATGAACCTGCAGACAAGAATCAGGTCATGGAGGCTCTCTTATAAGATCTGAGAAATTTGAACTTCATTTAAGAATTAAGAACCTAGGAATAAAGAGAATGGGGTTAAGAGGGTAGAAATTCTGATGATACTTTCTTTTGCTGTGCAGAAGCTCTTTAGTTTAATTAGATCCCATTTGTCAATTTTGGCTTTTGCTACCATTGCTTTTGGTGTTTTAGTCATGATGTCTTTGCCCATGCCTATGTCCTGAATGGTATTGCCTAGGTTTTCTTCAAGTGTTTTTATGGTTTTAGGCATTACATTGAAGTCTTTAATCCATCTTGAGTTAATTTTTGTATAAGGTATAACGAAGGGGTCCAGTTTCAGGTTTCTATGTACAGCTAGCCAATTTTCCCAACACCATTTATTAAATAGGGGATTCTTTCTCTGTTGCTTGTTTTTGTCAGGTTGTCAATGATCAGATGACTGTAGATGTGTGGAGTTATTTCTGAGGCCTATATTCTGTTCCATTGGTCTATATATCTTTTTTTGGTACCAGTACCATGCTGTTTTGGTTACTGTAGCCTTGTAGTATAGTTTGAAGTCAGGTAGTGTGATGCCTACAGCTTTGTTCTTTTTGCATGGGATATCTTGGATATACAGGCTCTTTTTTGATTCCACATAAAATTTAAAGTAGTTTTTTCTAATTCTGTGAAGAAAGTCAATGATAGCTTAATGGGGATAGCATTGAATCAGTAAATTATTTTGGGCAGTATGGCCATTTTCATGATATTGATTCTTCCTATCCATGAGTATGGAATGTTTTTCCATTTGTTTGTGTCCTCTCTTATTTCCTTGAGCAGTGGTTTGTCGTTCTCCTTGAAGAGGTCCTTCACATCCCTTGTAAATTGTATTCCTAAATATTTTATTCTCTTTGTAGCAATTGTGAATGGGAATTCACTCACGATTTGGCTCTCTGTTTGTCTATTATTGGTGTGTAGGAATGCTTGTGATTTTTGCACATTGATTTTGTATCCTGAGACTCTGCTGAAGTTGCTTATCAGCTTAAGGAGTTTTTGGGCTGTGACGATGGGGTTTTCCAAATACATAATCATGTCATCTGCAAGCAGAGACAATTTGACTTCTTCTCTTCCTATTTGAATATCCTTTATTTCTTTCTCTTGCCTGATTTCCCTGGCCAGAACTTCCAATACTATGTTGAATAGGAGTGGTGAGAGAGGGCATACTTGTCTTGTGCCGGTTTTCAAAGGGAATGCTTCCAGCTTTTGCCCATTCAGTATGATCTTGGCTGTGTGTTTATCATAAATACCTCTTATTATTTTGAGATACGTTCCATCAATATCTAGTTTATTGACAGTTTTTAGCATGAAGGGGTGTTGAATTTTATCAAAGGCCTTTTCTGCATCTATTGAGATAATCATGTGGTTTTTGTCATTGGTTCTGTTTATGTGATGGATTACATTTATTGATCTGCCTATGTTGAACCAGCCTTGCATCCCAGGGATGAAGCTGAATTGACCGTGGTGGGTAAGCTTTTTGATGTGTTGATAGATTCTGTTTGCCAGTATTTTATTGAGGATTTTTGCATTGAAATTCATCAGGGATATTGGCCTGCAATTTTCTGTTTGTTTTGTCTCTGCCACGTTTTGGTATCAGGTTGATGCTGGCCTCCTAAAATGAGTTAGGGAGGAGTTCCTGTTTTTCTGTTATTTGGAATAGTTTTAGAAGGAATGGTACCAGCTTCTCTTTGTACCTCTGGGAGAATTTGGCTGTGAATTCTTCTGGTTCTAGGATTTTTTTTTGGTCGATAGGCTATTAATTATTGCCTCAATTTTAGAATTTGTTATTGATCAATTCAGGGATTTGACTTCTTCCTCATTTAGTCTTGGAAGGGTGTATATGTTCAGGAATTTGCCCATTTCTTCTAGATTTTCTAGTTTATTTGCATAGAGGTGTTTATAGTATTCTCTGATGGTAGTTTGTATTTCTGGGGAATTATTGGTGGTATCCCCTTTATCATTTTTTCTTGTGTCTATTTGATTCTTCTCACTTTTCTTCTTTATTAGTCTGGTTAGCAGTCTATTTTGTTAATCTTTTCAAAAAACCAGCTGCTGGATTCATTGATTTTTTGAAGGGTTTTTCATGTCTCTATCTCCTTCAGTTCTGCTCTGATCTTACTTATTTCTTCTCTTCTACTAGCTTTTGAATTTGTTTGCCCTTGCTTCTCTAGTTCTTTTAATTGTGATATTAGGGTGTCGATTTTAGATCTTAGAAATTTTTTGCAATCTATCTATCTGACAAAGGGCAAATATCCAGAATCTACAAGGAACTTTAACAAAGTTACAAGGAAGAAACAAACAACCCCATCAAGGAGGTGAAGGACTTGAACAGACATTTCTCAAAAGAAGACATTTATCCAGCCAACAAACATATGAAAAAAGCTCATCATCACTGGTCATTAGAGAAATGCAAACCTAAACCATGATGAGATACCATCTCATTCCAGTTAGAATAGTGATCATTAAAAAGTCAGGAAACAACAGATGATGGAGAGGATGTGGGGAAATAAGAATGCTTTTACACTGTTGGTGGGAGAGTAAATTAGTTCAACAATTATGGAAGACAGTGTGGCGATTCCTCAACGATCCAGAACTACAAATACTATTTGACCCAGCAATTCTATTATTGGGTATATACCTGAAGAATTATAAATCATTCTACTCTAAAGACACATGCACTCTTATATTTATTGTGGTACTATTCATAATAACAAAGACTTGGGACCAACTAAAATGCCCATCAATGATACACTGGATAAAGAAAATGTGGCACATATACACCATTGAATACTATGCAGGCATAAAAAAGATGAGTTTATGTCCTTTGCAGGGGCATGAATGAAGCTGGAAACCATCACTTTCAGCTAAGTAACAAAGGAACAGAAAACCAAACACCACATTTTCTCACTCATAAGTGGGAGTTGAACAATGAGAACACATGGACACATGGAGGGGAACATCACACACTAGGGGCTGTCAGGGGACAGGGGGCTAGGGTAGGGATAGCATTAGGAGAAATACCTAATGTAGATGACGGGTTGATGGATGCAGCAAACCACCATGGCATGTGTATAACTATGTAACAAACCTGCACGTTCTGCACATGTATCCTAGAACTTAAAGTATAATTTAAATAAATGAAGGTAGAAACATTTTGAAAAAGAAAAAATCTGAGAATCATTCTGATATTAAATCTTGTCCCACCATCAGTGAAAACCATTACATTGTCACTTATAAGAGAGATGTGTCATGATCATTATTCTGGCAGTAATGTAAATATATGTTGGGGTATCATATGGTGGATAAATGATGAGGGCCAGAATTATTGCAATAGCAGTGACAATGAAGAGAAGAGGATGGCTCTACGCAATATCTAGTAAGCGTGTAGGATATAGTAAATGTGAAGGCTTGATCAAAATCAGGAAACAGTGTTGAAGCAGTCAGGATTCACTTCCATAATTCTGTCATTAAGTCTGATAATAATATTACCAACTTAAGGGAAGTGTGGAACAATAGAATTGATGATGATGTAAATATGTCACTTTTGTACATATTGATTGCCAAGTGCTGTGGTAGATTAACTTCTAAGAATGAACCCAATGACTCTCACTGTTTTAAAACCCCTTTCTTTTGAATGTTTTTGGAACCTGCGAATATCATATGACCTCACTCCCATGATTTAGTTATATTATATAGTTTAAAAAGATTATCTGAGTGGGTCTGCTTTAATCATGTAGCTCTTTAAAAGAAGAGAGTTTACTCCTGATATTGGTAAGAGGGAAGTCAAAGATATTTGAAGCATACAAATTTGATGCTAGCTTAAAAAGGAAGGTGGTTATGTGACACGAATATGGGCAGACTCTAGAGGTTAAGGTTCTACTGAAAGTAATCCAGTAGATGAGATCTCTAGATAGATCTCTAGAAAGTAATCTAGTAGAAGAAATTGTATTCTGCCAACATCACAAATGAGCTTGGAAGCAAATTCTTCCCTAGGTGCACCACGTAGAATTCCAGCCCAAATAATTATTTTCATTATGGCTTTATGAGAATCTTACATGGGAATCCCAAAAGAGTCAGCCATGACTTTTGTCCTACAGAACTGTGATATAACAATTGAGTATTGTTTTAAGACCTTAAATATGTGATAATTTGTTGTGCTTTAAAATAAATTAATGCAGTGCCTCCAGGACTTCCAGATAAACTTATAGAGCTGACATTAGGCATTTAATGTTGTGCCTGAAGTGAAGTTGTAGATGGAGAAAGAGATTAAGACATTAGAATTAGGTCATACAGGTTGAAACATATGAAATAGCTGATATTGAACTGCTTTTGACCTATAAAAGTGGAAGTTTCATAGAGTCCAACCTAATGCAAAGTGTTAAAATCCTGAGTGCACTAAATTGTCCAACATTTTTATGTCTGAAACAGGTAGAAGGACATTGCCAATGTTTAACATTCTGAACTGATTTTTCCCCACAAATTCAGTATCATTGGAAATTTGAAATCAAATGATACCTTCGATGGATGAAGAACATTTTAACCCTTTGGTTATGAGTCAGTTTACTTATTCAGATCTTTAGTTTTGTAAAGCAGTCTATATAAAAGATAGGAGAGGTTGAAACATGGCAATGTGAAAGGGGATAGGAAGAATTCAATGCAAACCGTTCTTAGTAAAAATTAGGCAGATGTAATGATTTTCAAAATTATTCCCAAGCATGACTACATTTCAGTATAAAATTAAAAATGGATATAGAAATAGCTTCTTAAGTCAAGAAGCATTTGCACATATTTGATGAACTGCAATTGTCAAAAGTTCATTGAGTTACAAAATTCAGAGGAAAAATTCTGAGTTATCAAATCAGAATCGACTTATGACCTTCCAGCAGGAAAACAATATTTTAAAGCACACAGTCAAAACAAATAAATGGAAGGACTAGGCCTTTATAAAGGTCAAAAAATAACAAGCAGTTCTGGACTAATTGTTATCAGTGTGTTCAATGTGAGTGGTGGAGTATGGGGAAAGGAATCAATGAGGAGCAGTCTGGAAGAAGGTTCCAAAACAGATATGTAACAAGAGAGGATACGACTTAGACAGAGTGCACTGAATGAAATGTAAAGGGGGAATTAGGATATGAAAACTTGACCAGGCACGGTAGCTCATGGCTGTAATACCAATACTTTGGGAGGCTGAGGTGGGCAGATCACGAGGTCAAGAGCTTGAGACCAGCCTGGTCAACATGGTGAAAACCCATCCCTACTAAGAATACAAAAATTAGCTGGGCATGGTGGGAAATTAGCTGGGCGTGGTGGAAAATTAGCCGGGCATGGTGGCACATGCCTGTAATCCCAGCTACTCTGGAGGCTGAGGCAGGAGGCAGGAGAATTGCTTGAACCTGGGAGGTGGAGGTTGCAGTGAGCCGAGATCGCGCCACTATGCTCCAGCCTGTGTGACAGAGCAAGACTCCATCTCAAAAAAAAAAAAAAAAAAAAGATAAAAGATAAAAGAAAAAAAAAGAAAACGTTGGCTGTTTGCTTAGTATTTGAGTGTTTGAAGATACCATGCAGCAGCAAATACTGGGAGAAGAAAGAAAATTTTGTCTATAAAAAATATGCCCCAATAAACATACATGTGCATGTGTCTTTATAGCAGCATGATTTATATTCCTTTGGGTATATACCCAGTAATGGGATGGCTGGGTCAAATGGTATTTCTAGTTCTAGATCCCTGAGGAATCGCCACACTGTCTTCCACAATGGTTGAACTAGTTTACAGTCCCACCAACAGTGTAAAAGTGTTCCTATTTCTCCTCTCCAGCACCTGTTGTTTCCTGACTTTTTAATGATCGCCATTCTAACTGGTGTGAGATGATATCTCATTGTGGTTTGGATTTGCATCTCTCTGATGGCCAGTGACGATGAGCATTTTTTAATGAGTGCAGCACACCAACATGGCACATGTATACATATGTAACAAACCTGCACGTTGTGCACATGTACCCTAAAACTTAAAGTATAATAAAAAATATATATAAAAAATTAAAAAAAATGTGGAACAAGCTTTCCCTCTGTTATGTTAATGTACTGTGTATCAGCCACCTGTAAATAATGCTGGAGTCAGATTAAAGTACTGAAACCTATATGAGGTCTAGTAAAGAATTTTAACATGGAGGGATAAAAACGAGTCAGTAACTCACTGAAATTGAAAAATTAAGGCTTTAGAATCAGTTAACATGAAGTAGGATTCTAGCCGCCTCTAAGTTTTGTGAAATTTGGTAGCTCTATAAAATTTCTATGTTTAAATGTCTCCTGTAATACATGATTTTCTGTTTTATAATATGGTTAAATGAGCCATAAAGTAGTTGGTTCGATGAAAGAGTAAGTATTCAACAATTTTTTTTTTTACTTTTTTAAAATGATAAAAGGATAAGAAAAAGAAGTTTCTATGGAACACCATGGAAAGGCTTGTGGCTATGCTTCATTGATCATGACTACATGTAGTTTAATTATATAGCCAGAAGCTAGGAGTTAACACTTTAAAAACTTAGGTAAGTCCAGATTTCATGTCCGTCTATTTAACATTTCTTACTCCAAAGTAATTTTTGCAATAACAAGGAACTGAGATAGAAAGAAATGATAAATAAATCTCAAGTAGAAGATGAGATGAAGAAATTCTTTGTTTACTTTTTTATTTTTTTATTTTTATTTATTTGTTTTTTTGAGACAGAGTCTTGCTCTGTCGCCCAGGCTGGAGTGCAGTGGCGCGATTTTGGCTCACTGCAAGCTCCGCCTCCCAGGTTCACGCCATTCTCCTGCCTCAGCCTCCCGAGTAGCTGGGACTACAGGCACCCGCCACCACGCCTGGCTAATTTTTTTGTATTTTTAGTAGAGACGGGGTTTCACCGCGTTAGCCAGGATGGTCTCGATCTCTTGACCTCGTGATCCACCCACCTAGGCCTCCCAAAGTGCTGTGATTACAGGCGTGAGCCACTGCGCCTGTCCAGAAATTCTTAGTTTTAAAAAGAGAACTGGATATACACAAATACAAACACTGTTATTATTTAAATATTTAGGACTTCAACTGAGATTATTCTCTTGGTCTGTTAATTGAAGAACTAATCAATATTTTTTTCTGATAATATCTAAAACACATAGTTAACACACGGCCAGTCTTTGTAAAAGGAAAAATAACACATATGACAATTTTATGTCAGTTTAGAGATGCCAGCTAGAGTATTTTTGAAAAATAAGAGAAATCCTTTTCATCAAGCTACTCTCAGCTGTAAGTCCTAGAAATTTTATGAGAAAAATATTATTCTATAAAATAAGAAAACAATTTCACTCACATATGAGAATAAAAATAATAGTAATTTTGCACTGATCATTAAAAATGCAAACACTAAGAAAGATTTTATAAATATTTTAGAAAATTCTGAAATTCAGTTTCTAATTTCTTTCTAGTCTTTTTCAGAAGTATCTAATAATATAAACCTAGATAAATCATGTTCAAATTTTGAAATACAGATCTATAAACACAATTTCTATAAGTGATCAACAGCTTTTGCTAATCGAAAAACAAAATACATCATATTGCAGATGTTTTTCCTTTTTGACTAGGATCATCTATCAATGACCTGAAATAACTTAGAAAAACAAAGAAAAAAGAAACACATGCATTTGAAGTATTATTGGTTCTGAATTATTATTTTCATTCCTATTATTATTAAAGAACAATAGAAAATAGGTAAACATATGGTTCTAAAATTTTAGCGTGCATCAATATTAATAGTAATAAAAGCAACCATTAATAGTACAGCTAACATATTGAGGGTTCAGTTGGGGAAAAGAAATTTATTTGAATTACCTCTTATTTTGTACAGTAATCTTATGAGATTGTTCTACTATTATCTTAATTTTGACAAAGAGATTGTGATTCTGTCTCTTGGAACAGAGTTTCTGTCATCTGTATTTTTAATAAGATTCCCAGGTATTGATGCAAATCAAAGTTTAAATGATTTAAGTTCTGTAAAAATTTCTCAATCCATTTAGTAGGTTAAGGTTCTGGATATATTTGCCAAGATTCCCAGAAATAAGCTGATTATTTTTAGAGAGTAAAACATTTTAATCAGGAAACTCCAAAATCTTCCTGTGTCCAATGGACTGATATTTTCCTAGCTATTTAAGCAAAATTTATATATTTCAAATTATTTGATCTATGATATGCAATGCACCTTTTCTTTCCAATTAGAATTGGAAATGTTTAACTTTTATTCTGTAATTAAATCAAGTCACTATAACTAGGAAAACATAAATATTCACCTACACAAAATATTAAGTAATTAAAATTTATGAAGAAAGCAAGACTACACAAACGTGATATGTTAAAAGAACCAAATAAAATTCTGTTCCAACAGATTTAGGCTGTTCAAAAAGATAAGTCTTTCACTTTGATTTAAAGTTTAACAGGTCTCGTGTCTTGAATTACCAGAATGTGCACTATATAAACCCTTTAAATATGCAATATTTTCACCTGTCTTCTGCATTACATTCTTTCTAAGACCTTGGCATAGCAATTAAAATAAGAAACATATTTTTAAATAATGTTTGCACTTATAGTTTCCAAAACATTTCTTTTCTCCTCCCTTCTCGCTTATTTCTCTCTCTCTGACTCGTACAAAACCACAAGAGGAACTTGAAAGATACTTTAGTTGCTATTTCTGACCTTAATAATAAATGCAAAATGTAAGCTCATCAGTATAAAATAATTACATATATATGTTCTATATATTACATTGTAATAGAAAATAAAGATATATACCCATTTTGACTTGATTGTTTAGGCAGCCAGAATTTTTAAAACCATATATTAATTCAACCATCCATTCTTAGTTGATGTATTCAATGGTACTGTGCTCATTCTAACAATGGCTTCTAACATTCAAGTAATTTTTAGGAAACATTTTATCTTTTTCTTCAAATATCACAGCATGCCAAGTGGAGTTCTAAGTGTTACATCTAACAGAGAAAATTTTGCAATTGAAATTTGAAAATAAATATACATTCTCAAGAAATTTTCATCTTTTATTGCTACTTTAAAGTGCTATGGGAGTAAAATATAATACCACTGGACTTAAAGAAACCTTCAAGAAATCTTGTTGTAAACCTCAATTTAGAGATTAAAGAACTTGAGGTCATTATAAAACAAGTGAGCTTCAGTGATACTAACACTCCAACACTTAGGTCTCCTGTTACAACCCTGTTGGATTTATCCTAAACTGTGTGACTTTTTTTTATTCCTTTCTCTAAGGAATAAAATACACCCAATCTATTGCCTAGACAACCACAGTTACCTTTTAAAAGTTATCTCTGGTTTTATTCTTGTTATGTACAAAATGGATTTGAGGAGCCACTTAAATTTCAAATTTCAGAGAGAATATGTGGGTAATCTAGCTTAGGTCATAGACCTGTCCTTGATTTTAGACTGCAGCTACTAGATTGCTTCTAATGGATATGAGGTAATTAGTTAACATTTATTCACTTTCACTCTGTGTAATACACTGCTCTGACGGTTTACACATTTCAGTCCACTTAATTATTATAGCAAACGTGATATTGGTGCTGTTTTTATTCCATTAAAGAAAATTGTGATACTGACTAAAAATATTATTAATATAATAAATGCCCTCTCTTCCTTCATGAAGCAAGCATTCTTCTTAGGGATATATTCTTGTGAAAGGATTCTGAATTTAAAAGCTTTATCTATATTAAGACCATACCAATAAGATAAAATAATTATGATAATCTATAAGACTAAATAACTATGTCATAGGAGACTTATTCTGAAGGCCAGTACCATGTGAAATATATTATTAATTATGTAGAAAATGTTCATTACTTCACCCCAAAATACCTAGACAATTTGAATGTGAATAAATTCAGTCCTCACCTCTGCTTTAAGTGGGGAATTTATTTAATTTTATTTTTTTTTTAATTTAAAAAATTTTTTTTGAGGCAGAGTCTCACTCTGTCACCCAGGCTGGAGTGCAGTGGTGCGATCTCAGCTCACTGCAACCTCCGCCTCCCAGGTTCAAGCGATTCTCCTGACTCAGCCTCCTGAGTAGCTGTGATTACAGGTGCCCACCACTATGCCCAGCTAATTTTTTGTGTTTTTAGTAGAGATGGGGTTTCACCATGTTGTCCAGGCTGGTCTCGAACTCCTGACCTCATGATTCGCTTGCCTTGGCTTCCCAAAGTGCTGGGATACAGGCGTGAGCCACCACGCCCGGCCTAAGTGAGGAATTTTTAATAGAGGATTTTGAAATCATATTGTGGCACAAGGACATACAGCTAATTATGACGAAATGATTTTAAATGCTTTTCGTTTATTTGTTGGTTTTGGTTGGTTGCTTGGTTGGTTGGTTTTTATCTGTTGCAGAATCAGAAACTTTGGAAAAGCAATTTCTTAAAGAATATGAGTAAAAAAGTATCTGTATCTAAATAAAGAAAAAATGTTTAATTCAGGCACTGACAGTAGTTCAAAGGAGGCGTCAATACTTCAAATCAGCAATGAGAAGTTTCCAGTGTCTCTTCTGAAATACGCAAAGTGAGGAGCAGAGAATAACTTGCCATTATCTCTGGGTCATGGGTTTGGATATAAATGAGCAACCAGGCACTACTGTTAGTCATAATACAGCATCTGTTCTATGCTAGCAATTATCATTTTTTCAAATGAAATTTGATGGATGCTGTTAGCAGCTGATACGTCATTGGTATAATTTTACTTTTTATATACATGCCACACGTGATGAACTCTAGTTTAATTTGTATATTTTACTATTCTGTGAACACCATTACAAGCAAATCAAATTTCTCTGAACTGATAAAATATGGGTGTGTGTGTGTCTTATTTGATTCTATTACTCAAGTGGATTTAAAATTTTTATGATGACAAAACTAAATAAGGGGATTTCATCTTAAGTACATTGTGTCTATTGCAATAAGCCTGGAAGAGTGAAGAGAACTGTGACTCACTTAGAAGGCAGTAGAACACAGCTGAGAAATTCCCCCAAAGCTTGAATATTAAGAACTTGCTATATTTTATAGGTATTATTTCTAAATTAGTCGTTATTTTATGTAGGGACTTTTAAAATAAGACAAAACAAGGTTTTTTATTAATCTGGATTTACTGTTGGTGATTAGTAAAAAGTTTAAAGTTGCAATATATGCATTTTAAAGGATATGTCTATTGCAGGAGATTTTTACCATTATTTTTAAGTGATCCCAACATTTGTTCTTTTTACTGCTACTAGATAATTAGAAATAATGATTTACCTTTATGTTTTCTAATCAGATGATGATTTCTAATTACATGTGTATTTATGTTAAAATGTCATTTGAATATAGTCATTTTATCATTAATCCATGAATTTTGTTTTCTAATTAGTTTTTATGTATGCCTAAATAGATTGCTATAATTTTGTGTTATTAACTTGACAAGAATATTTCACTTTTTAAAGAACCCAGTACAGTTGGATAATACAATTGGTCTTCAGTGTTTTTAAAAAAATCACTATTAACAATGAGGAATATGCATTGTTTTCTGTTTTTGCTTATTTTCCACTCATTTCTCATACCTACGATTAGGCAAAATAACAAAATTTACAAAATTAACTTATTCATGACCTTATGTGAAAAACTAGTGAGTCAGCAGAAAGGGAAAAGAGGCTTGAACAGTTCTACATGCAGCCCTGCTTTGTTGTTGCGAAAAACTTGCCCACTTACTGTATAATCTTGAGCAAGTGCCTTAAGTTCCCTGACCCTCAGTTGCATTCTTGCTATAGTGAGTATTAGACTAGATAATGACCTGAAATTCTTGCAGCTTGATGATACTTTTTCTTTTCTGGGAAAGGTAATATAATGACAAAAAAATATAGCTGAAATTTGTTATAATTTTTATTGACTGGGTTTTGGGCTTTTTTAAAGAAAATACTGCATAGTTGACACTATGCAGAATAACTACATCTTAAATAATTCTTTAAAAAATAATATCTGCAGAAATTTAACAGTGGTAACTAATGTGATGTAGTCTGTTAGCAGTATATTTAAGTATGGCTATATTATAACTCTTCTGTCTCTTTCATAATTAACCAAATCAAACCAAACCAAACAAAACGTAAAACAAGATGGTGGAGAAGAGAAAAATAACATTTAAAAACAGAGAGAATATTGTTCGTTGGTATAAAACATTTAAAGTTGGCAGAATGACATAACATGTTCTCTGTGATCTATTAGAGATACCCACATGGAAAAGCAATCATTTCAAAGATGCAAACTTGGGGTATGGTAACTCAAGCCTGTAATCCTAGCACTTTGGAGGCCCAGGCAGGAGAGTTGCTTGAGCCCAGGAGTTCAAGACCAGACTGGGCATCATAGTGAGATCTCCCTTTCTCTCCAAAAAAAAAAATTAAATTAAATTAAAAATAGATTAGCTATTGTCGTGGTGTGCACCTGTGGTCCCAGCTACTAAGGAGGTTGAGGCTGCAATGAGCTGTGATTGTGCCACTGCGCTCCAGACTGGGCAACAAAGCAAGACCTTGTCTCAAAATAAATAAATAAAATAAAATAAAAAATGCAAATGTTTCATGAATTTCAGTGCAAATTTGATTTGTAGACGATAATTCTTTTTTTTTTTTAATTTTTTTTTTTTTTTGAGATGGTGTGTTGCTCTGTTGCTCAGGCTGGAGTGCAGTGGCACAATCTTGGCTCACTACAACCTCTGCCTCCTGGGTTCCAGCAATTCTCCTGCCTCAGCCTCCTGAATAGCTGGGACAACAGGTGCAGGCCACCACTCCTGGCTAATGTTTGTATTTTTAATAGATACGGGGTTTCACCATATTGGTCAGGCTGGTCTCGAACTCCTGACCTCAGGTGATCCACCCACCTCAGCCTCTCAAATTGCTGGGATTACAGGCATGAGCCACAGCGCCCAGTCGAGGATACTTCTTAAAGAAGTGAATTCTAAATTGTTTGTGTCTCTTCTTTCCCCCTGCCCCCTTCCTTTCCTTCTCCATTTCTCTATCCTGCCTCTCCCTCTTCCAAAAACAAAAACACAAGATCAAATTGAAGAATGTTTTAGTATCTATTTCAGCACATAAGATCTGATGGCGACACATAAAATCCGATGTAAAATGTAAGCAAAGAAATAGAAAATATTAATAAATTGTTTTTATCTCTTTTTTAAAGGTATTTTAAAATATTAGAAGCATATAAGCTAATAAAAAGTACTTCTGTTTTTGAATCTGTTGTTGGAAGTCTGAATTCATTGAGAAAAAGTGCATTGCTGGGCATTATCGTGATATATACCTATTTGTACATTCAGTTTCCTAAAGTAAAAGAAACAGGAAAGGAACATCTCTGAGTGATGCAACATCAGATACATAATAAAAATAAATGACTTTTCTGCAACTTTTAAAGGAAAACCAAAGTGATGAAATTCTTCTCTGAGCTAGTAAGCTTTAATAACACTTTCAGGGTTTCCTGAATTTGAAAGAAAGGCAGAATAAGGGCAGTTATGCCTTGTGAACCCTAATGTCATTACCATTTTAAAAACATAATCCCTAACTAAGACATTTGAAAAACTGCTGTTAAAATTTCTGTTTTGTCAGTTTTAACTTAAGCAGACAATACTTTGACATGTTAATCATAGTTTCCAATTTTAAAGGATGACTCATTAAATTTTAGTGTATATTATGAATAATAATTATATTACTCTGTAAATACTAGTGTATACTATATACATATTAGTGCTTAATTATTTTACAAGGATAAGAACATTTTCTTGGAGGCCATTTTCATATAACAACTTCTTTTCCTTTGGGTGGATACCCAGGAGTGGGATTACTGGATCAAATGGTACATCTACTTTTAGCTCTTTAAGGAATCTCCATATTGTTTTTCATAGTGGTTGTACTAATTTACATTTCCACCAGCAGTGTATATGTGTTCCTTTTCCCCTACATCCACAGCAGACATTTATTGTTTTTTAACTTTTTAATAATAGCTATTCTTACAAGAGTAAGGTAATATCTCATTGTGGTTTTAATTTGCCTTTCCCTAATGATTAGTGAGGTTGAGCATTTTTTCAGGTGTTTGTTGGCTACTTGTATGTCTTCATTTGAGTAATGCCTATTCATGTCCTTTACTCACTTTTTAATGGGATTGTTTGTTTTTTCCTTGCTGATTTATTTAAGTTCCCTATAGATTCTGGATACCAGTCCTTTGTTGCATGCATAATTTGCAAATATTTTCTCCCATTCTGTGGTTGTCTGTTTACTCTCCTGATTATTTCTTTTGCTGTGCAGAAGTTTTTAATTTTAATTAGGTCCCATATATTTATTTTTTCTTTATTTGCTTTTGGAATTTGTCACAAATTATTTGCCTAGGCTGATTTCTAAAAAAGTTTTTCCAATATTGTCTTCTAGAATTCTTATAGTTTCATTTCC
The DNA here is from genome assembly GCF_000001405.40 of Homo sapiens. Lineage (NCBI taxonomy): Eukaryota > Metazoa > Chordata > Mammalia > Primates > Hominidae > Homo > Homo sapiens. The sequence goes on from NT_187536.1 coordinate 95,367, forward strand.
ACATTAAATATGATGTTAGCTGTAGGCGTGTAAGTATGATTGTTAGCTGTAGGTGTGTAACATTATGTGGTTTTTATTATTTTGAGGTAGGCCCTCTTTATGCATACTTTGTTGAGAGTTTTTACTATAAAGTGATTCTCAATTATGTGAAATGCTTTTTCTGCATCTGTTTAAATAATATGGTTTTTGTTTTTAATTCTGTTTATGGGATGTATCACATTTGTTGACATGTGTATGTTAAACCATCCCTACACCTCTGGGATAAAACCCACTTGATCATGATGGATTATCTTTTCAATGTGCTGTTGAATTCAGTTAGCTAGTATTTTATTGAGGATTGTTGCATCTATGCTCATCAGGAAAATTGGTCTGTAGGTTTTTTGTTTTTGTTGTTGTTGTTGTTGTTGTTGTTGTTGTTGTTGTTGTGCTCTGTCCTGGTTTTGGTATTGGGGTGATACTAACTTCACAGAATAATTTAGGGAGGATTTCCTCTTTCTCAATCTTTTGGAATAGTTTCAGTAAGATTGGTGCCGGTTATTCTTTGAATGTCTGGTAGAATTCAGCTGTGAATCCATCTTGTTCTTGGCGTTTTTTGGCAATTTTTAAATTGCTGATTCAATCTCACTGCTTGTTACTGATCTGTTCAAGGTTTCTATTTCTTCCTGATTTAATGTGGGAGAGTTGTATGTTTCTAGCAACTTATTCATTTTCTCTAGGTGTTCTAGTTTGTGAGTCTAAAGGTGTTCATAGGAGTCTCAAATCATCTTTGGTATTTCTGTGGTGTTGGTTGTAATGTCTCTAGTTTCATTTCTAATTGAGCTTATTTGGATCTTCTCATCTTCTCTCTTCTTGGTTAATCTAGCTAATGGACTATCAATTTTGTTCATTTTTTCAAAGAGCCAGCTTTGTTTCATCGATTTTTGTATTTTTTTTTATGTTTGCATTATATTTATTTCTGCTCTAATCATTGTTATTTATTTTCTTCTTCTAGCTTTAGGTTTAGTTTATTCTTGTTTCTCCCGTTCCTTGAGGTAAATATTAGGTTATCAATTTGTGCTCCTTCAGACTTTTTGATGTAGGTGTTTAGTACTATAAACTTTCCTCTTAGCCCTGCGTTTTTGTTGTATCCCAGAGGTTTCGATAACTTGTATTATTATTGTCATTCAATTCAACGGATTTTTTTAAATTTCCAGTTTGATTTTATTTTTAAGCCAGCTATCATTCAGGAGATTATTTAATTTCCATTTATTTGTATAGTTTTGAGAGTTCATTTTGGGGTTGATTTCTATTTTTATTCTGCAGTGATCTGAGAAGATACATGATAAGATTTTGATTTTTTAAAATTTATGGAGACTGATTTTGTGGCCTCTCATATTGTCTGTCTTGGAGTATGTTTCATGTGCTGATGAGAAGACTATATATTCTGCAGTTCTTTGGTAAAATGTTCTGTAAATATCTGTTAAGTTCATTTGTTCTAGCATGTCATTTGAATTCATTGATCCTCTGTTAACATTATGTCTCAAAGATCTGTCTAGTGAGTGTTGTCAGTGGTGTATTGAAGTCTCCCACTGTTTTTGTTTTGTTGTCTATCTTATTTCTTAGGTCTAGTAGTATTTTTTTTTATGAATCTGGAAGCTCCAGTGTTTGGTGCATATAAATTTAGGATTATAATATCTTTTTGTTGGATTGATCCTTTTATCATTATATAGTAGCCATCTTTTTTTTTCCTTTGCTTTTGTTTCTTTGAAGTCTATTTTGTCTGATATAAGAATAGCTACTTCTGCTCCATTTTGGTATCCATTTGCACAAAGTATCTTTTTCCATGCTCTTCCCTTGAGTTTATATAAATCCTCCCATGTTAGGTGAGTCTCTTCAAGACAGCAGGTATTTGGATTGGATTGTGATTGTGTACCAGTTCTACCATTCTGTATACATACATATGTATATGTATACATATGTGTGTGTGTGTATATATATATATATTTTTTTTAAATTATTATTACTATTTTTTTTTTGAGAGGGAGTCTCCCTCTGTCACCCAGGCTGGAGTGTAGTGGCACGATCTTGGCTCACTGCAACCTCTGCCTCCCAGGTTCAAGTGATTCTCCTACCTCAGCTTACTGAGTAGCTGGGATTACAGGCACGCTCCACCACACCTGGCTAATTTTTGTATTTTTAGTAGAAATGGGGTTTCACCATGTTAGCCAGGCTGGTCTCAATCTCCTGACCTGGTGATCCACCTGCCTTGGCTTCCCAAACTGTTGGGATTACAAGGCATAAGCCACTGTGCCCCGCCCATTCTGTATATTTTAAGTGGAGCATTTACCTCATTTACATTAAATGTTAATATTGAGATATGAGGTATTTTTCTCTTCATCATGTTAGTTGTTACCTAGATAGATTATTTTTCATTATGTTACTGTTATATAGGCTCTGTGAGCTTTAAGCTTTCAAGAGTTTCTATTTTGGTGGATTTTGGACTTTTGTTTCAAGGTTTAGAATTTCTCTTAGCATTTCTTGTAGTGCTACTTTGATAGTGACAAATTCCTTCAGCATCTGTTTGTCTGAAAATCACTTTATTTCTCTTACATTTATGAAATTTGTTTCTGCAGGATTCAAAATTCTTGGCTGACAGTTGTTCTCTTTATGGTTGTTGAAGTTAGGATCTCAATCCCTTCTAGCTTGTAAGGTTTCTGCTGAGAACTCTGCTGTTTGTTAGGTTTTCCTTTGGAATTTACCTGATGTTTTCGGCTTCTACTCTTGAAATTTATTTCTTTATGTTGACTTTAGATAGCCTGATAACTGTATGCCTTTTTTGAAGACGTTTTTGCAATGAATTTTCCAGGAATTCTTTGAACTTCTTGGATTTGGTTATCCAGATCTCTAGACAGGCCAGGAAAGATTTCCTCAATTATTTCCTTAAATAAGTTTTCCATAAATATTTTCTCTTCTCCCTAAGAAACAACAATTATTCTTAAGTTTGGCCATTTTACATAATCCCTTATTTCTTGGAGACTTTTTTAAAATTCTTTTTTCTTTATTTTTGTCTGATTGGGTTAATTAAAAAAACTTTGTCCTCAAGCTCTGAGATTCTTTCTTTTACTTGTTCTAATGTATTATTCAAGCTTTCCACTGTATTTAGTAATTCCTTAAGTGTATCTTTCATTTAGAGAACTCCTGATTGTTTTTTCTTGATTATATCAACTTCTCTAGAAAATTTTTTATTCATATCCTGAGCTTCTTTTAAAAATTTCCTTATACAGTTTCCATTTTTACCTTTCTCTGATATCTCTTTGAGTAGCTTAGTAATCAACTGTCTGAATTCCTTATCTGGTATTTCAAAGATTTTATCTTTGCTTGGATCCATTGCTGGAGAGCTAGTGTGATCTTTTGAGGGTGTTATTAGAGTCCTGTTTTGTCATATTACCAGAGTTAATTTTCTGGTTCCCTCTCATTTGAGTAGACTATTTCTTCTAATTATTATTGAACTTATGTATGATTTGCCTGTGTTTCTTTTTTTGTTGTTGTTTGCTTTGTATTTTTTTTTCCTTAAAGATGAGACACTAATATTAGTTTATAGTTAATTATAGCCTAATTCAGTACTTGGTGCTTTCAGGGATGAAGACTCTGTAAGAGTTCCTTGGTTATTGAGAGTCTTTGTATGATAGTTTTTTCATATGCTGGTTGTTGTAGAAATGTGTTCAGTGTGTAAATAAGTTCACTGTCTCTTATGGGGTTGGAATGGTAGAGGTCTCTTAAAGCTTATCTTGTTTCCCTGTGGCATGCACTTATTTATTTCTTTCTCTTCCCCCAGTATTTCATTTGCTGGCTTGATGTTTCATGCTTCAGGCTGGTAGGGAAGGTGTCCCCAACTGGTGTGAGATGGTATCTCACTGTGGTTTTGATTTGCATTTCTCTAATGACTAGTGATGATAAGCTTTTTTTCATATGTTTGTTGACCACATAAATGCCTTCTTTTGAGGAGTGTCTGTTCATAGCCTTCACCTACTTTTAATGGGGTTTTCTTTTTTCCTTTTAAATGTGTTTATGTTCCTTGTAGATTCTGGATATTAGACCTTTGACAGATGGATAGATTGCAAAAATATTCTCCCATTTTGTAGGTTGCCTGTTCACTCTGACGATAGTTCCTTTTTCTGTGCAGAAGATCTTTAGCTTAATTAGATCCCATTTATCAATTTTGGCTTTTGTTGCCATTGCTTTTGGTGTTTTAGTCATAAAGTCTTTGCCCATGCCTATGTCCTGAACGGTATTGCCTAGGTTTTCTTCTAGGGTTTTTATGGTTTTAGGATATACATTTAAGTCTTTAATCCACCTTGAGTTAATTTTTTTATAAGGTGTAGGGAAGGGGTCCAGTGTCAGTTTTCTGCATATGGTAGCCATTTTTCCCAGCACCATTTATTAAATAGGGAATCCTTTCACATTGCTTGTTTTTGTAAGGCTTGTCAAAGATCAGATGGCTGTGGATATGTGGTGTTATTTCTGAGGCCTCTCTTCTGTTCCATTGGTATATATGTCTGTTTTGGTACCAGTACCATGCTGTTTTGGTTACTGTAGCCTTGTAGTATAGTTTGAAGTCAGGTAGTGTGATGTCTCCAGCTTTGTTCTTTTTGCTTAGGTTTGTCTTGGCTATATGGGCTCTTTTTTTGGTCCCATATGCAATTTAAAGTAGTTTTTTCTAGTTCTGTGAAAACAGTCAATGGTAGCTTGATAGATATAACATTGAATCTATAAATTATTTTGGGCAGTCTGGCCATTTTCATGATATTGACTCTTCCTATCCATGAGCATGGAATGTTTTTCCATTTGTTTGTGTCCTCTTTTATTTCTTTGAGGAGTGGTTTGTAGTTCTCCTTGAATAGGTCCTTCAAGTGCTTTGTAATTTGTATACCAAGGTACTTTATTTTCTTTGTAGCAATTGTGAATGGGAGTTCACTCATGATTTGGCTCTCTATTATTGGTGTATAGGAATGCTTGTGATTTTTGAACATTGATTTTGTATCCTGAGACTTTGCTGAAGTTGCTTATCAACCTAAGGAATTTTTGGGCTGAGACAATGGGGTTTTTCAAATATACAATCATGTTATCTGCAAACAGAGAAAATTTGACTTCCTCTCTTCCTGACTGAATATCCTTTATTTCTTTCTCCTGCCTGATTGCCCTGGTCAGAACTTCCAATTCCATGTTAAATAGGAGTGGTGAGAGAGGGCATCCTTGTCTTGTGCCAGTTTTCAAAGGGATTGCTTCCAGCTTTGACCCATTCAGTATGATATTGGCTATGGTTTGTCATATATAGCTCTTAATATTTTGAGATATATTCTATCAATACCTAGTTCGTTGAGTGTTTTTAGCATGAAGGGCTGTTGAATTGTATCAAAGGCCTTTTCTTTATTTATTGAGATAATCATGTGGTTTTTGTCATTGGTTCTGTTTATGTGATGGATTACATTATTCAGTTTGCATATGTTGAACCAGCCTTGCACCCCAAGGATGAAGCCTACCTGATCGTGGTGAATAAGTTTTTTGATGTGCTGCTTGATTCATTTTGCCAGTATTTTATTGAGAATTTTTTGCATTGATATTCATTAAGGATATTGGCCTGACATTTTGTTGTTGTTGTGTCTCTGTCAGGTTTTGGTATCATGATGATGCTGGCCTCTTAAAACAAGTAAGGGGGGAGTCCGTCTTTTTCTATTGTTTGGAATAATTTTAGAAAGAATGATACCAGCTCCTCTTTGTATCCCTGGTAGAAATCGGCTGTGAATTCAACTGGTCTTGGGCATTTTCTTGGTTGGTAGGCTATTAATACTGTTCCAATTTCAGGCATGGAAACTGAACAACCTGCTCCTGTATGACTACTGGGTAAATAACAAAATTAAGGCAGAAATAAATATGTTCTTTGAAACCAATGAGAAGAAAGACACAATGTACCAGAATCTCTGGGACACAGCTAAAGCAGTGTTAAGAGGGAAACTTATAGCACTAAAGGCCCACGTCAGAAAGCAGGAAAGATCTGAAATCAACACCCTAATATCACAATTAAAAGAACTAGAGAAGCAAGGGCAAACAAATTCAAAAGCTAGCAGAAGACAAGAAATAACTAAGATCAGAGCAGAACTGAAGGAGATAGAGACAAGAAAACCCATCAAAAAATAAATGAATCCAGGAGCTGTTTTTTTGAAAAGCCTAACAAAATAGACTGCTAGCCAGACTAATAAAGAAGTAAAGAGAAAAGAATCAAATAGACACAGTAAAGAATGATAAAGGGGATATCACCACTGAGCCCAAGGGAAAAAAAATCAGATAATATTATAAACACCTCTATGCAAATAAACTATAAAATTTAGAAGAAATGCATAAATTCCTGGACACATACACCCTCCCAAGATTAAACCAGGAAGAAGCTGAATCCCTGAATACACCATGCATTTAAAAACTATATTGTTCTTATTGAATCCACTTGTCAGCTTTGTCAAAAATCAGTGTATCATACGTGTTAGTCTTGTTACTTTGTTCCACTAATCTGTATGTTTATTTTATACAAATATAAGTCTGTCTTTCTAACTACAGCAGTAAGGTAAATGTAAGTTATCTATTATCTTATTTTTCACAATTATTTTGCTTATTCTAATTCCCTGGCTTTTTAATATACATTTCAGAATCAAATTTCTTTTTAGAAAGCCTTCTGTTAGAATAGTAATTGAAATTGTCTTGAATCTATAGACCAGTACACATTTTATCATAACAATTGTAATGTCTTTGAGTCCATGACATGCTCGCATCTTCAGTATAATCACCATTAATTTTTTACAGTAATATTTTCAGTCTACAGGTTGCAAATTTCAGTTCAGTGTATAGTTTTTGAATATAATTTCTTAAATTTATCTTTAAATGTTTCATATCCTAATGATATATTACACAATTTTTTCCAAAATTAATGCCCAATTGGGTGTTGTCAGTGTAAATAAATATATTTACTTGTTAAATATAGTCCTGAAAACTCTTACTACTTCTAGTAAATTTTGAAAATGTCTAAAAATTTTTAACTTTTTTAAAAAAATAATTTATTTATTTATTTTGTGACTGAGTCTCGCTTTGTTGCCCAGGCTAGAGTGCAGTGGTTTGATCTCTGCTCACTGCAACCTCCACCTCCCAGGTTCAAACAATTCTTCTGCCTCAACCTCCCAAGTAGCTGGGATTACAGGCATGTACCACCACACCTGGCTAATTTTTGTTTATTTAGTAGAGATGGGGTTTCACCATGTTGGCCAGGCTGGTCTCAAACTCCTGACCTCAGGTAATCCACCCGCCTTGGCCTCCCAAAGTGCTGGGATTACAGGCGTGAGCCACAGCGCCTGGCCGATTTTCAACATTTTTATGAATTTTCTCTGCGTTATATAGGGTAGGGCATCCAATATTATATTAAATAGGAATGATGAGAAAAGACTCACTTGTCTTGTTCCAGATCTTAGGGAAAAATTACTTTAAACTTTCTCAGTGAATAGAATGTGAATCCTGATTAAGTGTAGATACTTTCTACCGGGTTGAGAAAATTGTTTATATTCCTAGTTTTCTGAGAGCCATTAAACCAAGTGAGTAAGAAATATTTTCAAATTTGTTTTCTGGGATCTATTGAGATGATCACATGATTTTTCATTTAAAAATAGTTTAATGTAACTGATTACATTGATTCACTTTATAATGTGGTATAAAAATTTTATTCCTAGGATAAACCATACTTGATTATTATATTGTCTCTTCATAAAATTGTATTAAAGATTTTATATCTGTGTTCTATAGGGATATGTATCTCCTGCTTTTGTCTCTTGGAATGTCTTCTTCTGGTTTTAGTGTCAGAGTAATGCTGATGTCTTTTTCTATGTTCTGTTAACATTCTGAACTATGTTCAGAATTTGTATTATTTCTTCTTTAACATTTTTCACAATTCACCAGTCAAGCCATCTGTGGCTACAATTTTCATTTGAGACTTTTTTGGATACAAATTTAATTTCTTATCTTAGATATAGGGCTATTCCAGTTATATATCTCTTCTTGATTGAGCTTTTGTAGTTTGTGACTATCAAGGAATTTGTCCATTTTGTTTAAGATGTTAGATTTACGATTTATTGTTTAAAGTTGTTTATACTATTTTTATTTAAGTCTTTAATGCATAGAGAACTACAATGATGTCCCATTTTCATTCCTAATAATTATAACCTATGCTTTTGTTCTGTTTTGTCTAATTTATCTAGCTAGAATTTTATCAGTTTTATTGGCTTTTTAAAAGTTTTTTGCTCCCTTGCCTATTTTGTATATATATATGTATATATACAAATATATATATACGTATATATACGTGTGTGTGTGTGTGTATATATATATATATATATATTTTTTTTTTTTTTTGAGACGGAGTTTCACTGTAGTTGCCCAGGCTGGAGTGCAATGACACGATCTCAGCTCACCAGAACCTCTGCTTCCCGAGTTCAAGCGATTCTCTTGGCTCAGCCTCCCAAGTAGCTGGGATTACAGGCATGCGCCACCACGCCTAGCTAATTTTTTGTATTTTTAGTAGAGACGGGGTTTCTCCACCTTGGTCAGGCTGATCTCGAACTCCCGACCTCAGGTGATCCGCCCTCCTAGGCCTCCCGAAGTGTTGGGATTACAGGCGTGAGCCACCATGCCAGGCTGATGTCTCTTCTTACTTCTATTATTTATTTATATCTGCTTACTTTTGATTTAAGTCATTGTTCTTGTTCTAGAATCTTATTTCCAGTCATATATTTACATAGTAGTAAAACTAGAATCCCCAACCTACAGGTGTTTTAGATAAGGCTCCACTGTAAGTTACGGCACCTTAGGAAGAAAATGGTTTGCTCTTTTCTGTATCTTTTGGATGGGTAAAACATTAAATATATCTGCTAAAAATTTTTTTATCTTATAAGAGTCATCTTTTTAAGTGTCTCCATCCTTTGTTCCTAGCCAACCTAGGTATATGAGCAACCTTGCTCTCTAAAAATGAAAGAGAATTTTAGGCCTGGTGCTGGAAAATTATTAATTGTCTAGCATTATATTCCTGTGGAAGTACTGCTTTAAAGGAAGTCCATACCCTCTGCATCTTTCCAAGCATTTACTAACAAGTTACCTATCTATTTAGTGTCCTCAACTGGTTTACAATTTTCTAATAATGGGTAAAAAACATGGTAAACAACATCAATTCTTTGTTTTCTAAGATAAATATAAAAGCATGAAATTAAAAAAACAATAAAATGAGATAAATTGGTTTTAAACATATTGTGCAGATTTTAAAGTATTTATACCTATAACTTCTAACTAAAATGTACATGTAGTCCTTAAAATTTCAAAATTACATCTAAGTCTAATTGTAGCATATATAGGTATAAACATTTAAAAGTATAAATAAAATAATTTAATTATAGTTATAGCCTGTGTGAGCTTTAGAACATGTGTAGATAAAAATCATTCTTTTCTCCAACAGGATATATTTATTAACTGAGTAGTAATGAAAGATTGATGTGTCAAAATAACATATAAAATAATGGTGTATGAAATTTATCTATTTAGCACTATACATGACCCTTAAATTATATTCATCATTATTGTAAGATTGCAGAAGTTATTTTCCTTTGTAAGCATTCTGCTTAAATACATAACTTCTTTAATATCTTATTACTACTTAGCTGCCACGCAAATGAATATGATAAGTATAATTTAAAACTTGTGTTTAATTGACATTCCATAAGCTAACGAATGTAGTGTTAAATTGATATTTTAATTTTACACCAACTTATGCTGGTGCTAGACAGACATACACTACTTTCAACACTGCCTTACTTCTCATTTCAATTGTAATGGCCCTGCTCCCCTCCCAACAAGAAGAAAATAAGTTCTGCAGGTAGTATTATAGTTATATTTGATTTAAAATGAGGTCTCTTCACACATGTACATATGTAGGACTATATAGAATTCGACTATAAATATGTACTATATTTTATTTATTTTGCCTGCAATTTTTGGTATACAGAATATTTCCATCTGTTTGCTATTATAAACCAGATACTACAGAGAAAATCCGTGTGCATTCATCAATTCATATATATGCTATAACAAAGTTGTTAAAAGATGGATCAAGTTATGTGTATTACAAATGTTGATATATTAATTAAACTGCTGTACATAAAGGTGGTATATATTTTCACTACTCTCAGAAATATGAGAGTACTTGTTCTCCTTATTGTCATGAACCATGCCTCATCAAATTGTCTGATTTTTGACAAGCTACTATGGGAAAACATGGTATCTAATTTTAGTTTTATTTCACAGTTCGTTTGTTATTAGGACCATTGAAAATTCTACAGAGTTTAGAAGATATTAATTCTGTTTACTGTGAACAGCTTATTCTTTTTCCATTCTTCTATTGTACTTAATTTTTTTATAAAAGTCTTCATATTTTAAGGAAGTTGAAGCTTTTTTCTGTAAACTTATTTTGCAGTTTTTTTCTTCCCAAGTTATCATTTGCATTTTATATCTTCTAAGGGTGAGTCTTTATCATATAATACATTTTGATTTTTTAAACATTTTCTTATTTTGTCTAATTGCATTGCATAGCAGCTATGAGTCAATTGTAAATTATGGTGATGCCAGTGGACTTCCTGATGATACTGGAAAAACTTCTCGCTTATTTTTTCTACTCTTATTTACAGTAAAACTGTCTTTGGGTTTTGGACGTATTTATGTATTTCATCTTAAGAAAGTATTCTTTCATGTCAGTGTATAATTATTATTAATCAAAAAGTCAAAGTATTTTTTGTATCTTCAGTTATTATTACATTATGTTTTTCTATTTAGATTTATTTATTTAGTAAATTACTTCAAATTTTATTAACATTGCTTTCATGGCACTTAACATGTCTTGTTTTATGATTTTAGAACAAATACATGGTATTTCTTCACTAAAATATAGACTTTGCTTGAAGGCAGACTTTGACCTCTGATTCATCTTTACATCTCCCTACAAGTAAATCAGCATTTTCTGCATATTGTTACTAAACAGTTATTTATTAAAGAAATGTGTAGGTATATAAATGATCTTTGAAGTACTGTATGGATTGAATAATTGCTACACAAAGCCAAAATAATTTCAATTTCAGAAATAGTTAAAAATGGCCTTAAAATATAGTGAATATGAGAGTTGAATTGTTATGAATAGAAATATGTAGTTCTTTGAATAGTATTTTGCACATAACAATGAATATAAAAATTAGAAGACATAGCCCAAATATTATTTTTCTTTTGTAATTATTTTTAGTTGTTATAGATACATAATGATTTTACATATTTGTAAGGTATACGTGACATTTTGATAGATGCAGTCAATGTGTAATTATCAAATCTGGGTAATTGAAATATCCATCACATCAAACATTTCTTTCTTTGTGTTGGAAATATTTCAAATCTTCATTTCTAGCTATTAAAAATATATAATAAATTATTTTTGCCTGCAGTTTGTCCTATTGTGCGAATAACCATTAAACCTTATTCCTTCCATCTAACTATTTTTGTAACCATTAACCAATACCTCTTCATCCATCTCTCCCCACTTCTGTCTCCAGCCTCCGGTAACAACCATTCTATTCACTAACTCCATGAGATCAAGTTTTTTAGCTTCTGACACTCCCAGTGAGATGAACCTGGTACCTCAGTTGGAAATGCAGAAATCACCTGTCTTCTGCGTTGCTCACGCTGGGAGCTGTAGACTGGAGCTGTTCCTATTTGGCCATCTTGGCTCCATCTCTAAAATTTTAATTAGCATAGATGCAAAGATTGTTTCGCAAAATATTCAATAATAGAAAATTGATGTATTTTCTATTTAAAGGATAATAAAAGACAGCATAATGTCCCTGATTATAATAAAAGTAGCTAAGCATGTTTAATATTAATATATATAAATAATGTGCACACTCAGAAGCGAGATGAGATGAAAGAAAATCAATGTCAAATATCTGAAATGTATAGATTTTAAAATCTAAATTTTTCACATCATAGAAAATTGTTTAGATGTTGTTTTATTTAAAATTGGATATAAAGTAAAAAATATACGCAATACACAAAATAAATAAAATATTCTAATTTTTTCCAAGGGCAATAATTCCCTTTTCACTTTTTCTGAAACAAGACTTGATTTTTTGTTGAGGAAATCAGTTTAAAAAATACTATGAGACTAAATGGCAGAACCCCCAGTTTACTGTATAAATTATTTTGTCTAGATATTTGAACGAATTATTTTTCAAAGACAGTTTGACATTGTGAAACTGAAGTTGCACTTAAAATGTTTATCTTTTTAATATATTTCAGAATTTAGAAAATAATGAATGCAACAAAAGTCTTTGACATATTAAAAATAAAATTGAACATATAAATGAAGAATAAGCACTATGTTTCACTAGGGTTGTTTCCAATTTGCAAATTTTGTGTCACATAACCAAACAGCGTTTGAATACTTATACACATTATATTCTAATAATATAGGTTATTCTTTTACCAAGCAAATGTGATGTATTTAAGGAAGATCTCATAGATAAATATGTGCAAAAATATAAATATATGTATACATTTAAAGACAATTATTTTTACAGACATGTACATGCACATACATCTGATATACATCTCAAAGTGTGTATACATGTCTGTATTTATAGCAGGACAATATCAAAACTTCCGAGAAGCTAAGTGTAAACATCTTATAAAAGTAGCTGGAACACAATCAGGCACTGTTAAATAAAGTACCTGAAGATATAACAACTTCCAGCACATCTAGATCTGTAGTTCTGTGCATTTGATCAATAGCTTTCATCTGTTCTCCATTTGAAGAAATGTCATCAAAATCTTAATCTATTTCACCATGAGAGAAAGGATAAAGTATGAGTGAGATCTGAGAAAATAAAAGATCAGTGTTTGACAGTATTTTCAAATCTAATCAAAGTCAATGATATTTGGCATATTGTCTCCACTTTATTTTTTATTAACTCTAAGAGTAAAGAAGTGATAACTCAAAAAAAAATTGAGACTGCATTATATTTATTTTAAATAAAGAAATTACGTATCATCAAATGCTTCATAGCTTTTAGCTGATAAAAGTTTAAGGACTTTAGTGCAAGTTTTTCTGAAGATTCTAGTATATATGTCTGTACAAAGGTAACTTTGAATTAAGCTATAAACTAACATTGATTTAGTCCTTATTTTGCAGTACAAATGTTCTAGTCCTTTATCAAATGTATGCATACCTCAGAAATATTGCGGGTTTGGTTCCAGACCATGGCACTACAGTGAGTTACATAATTTTTGTTTGTTTATTTCTCAGTGAATATAAAAGTCATCTGTTAAGTGTAAAATAACATAATGTCTAAAAACTACATCTTAATTTAATAATACTTATTTGCTACAAACGTGCTAATAATTATTTAAGCCTCCCATGAGTTATAATCTTTCTGCTGGCCTTAATGTTGATGCTTGCTGGCTGATCAGGGTGTTGGTTGCTTAAGTTTGGGGCAGCTGTGGTAAGTAAAATAGCAATGAAGTTTGATGCATCGACTGGCTCTTCCTTTCGTGAAAGTTTTCTGTGTAGCATGCAGTGTTGTTTGATAGCATTTCACTTACAGTAGAACTACTTTTAAAGTTGGAGTGAATCCTCTCAAACTCTGCCACTGCTTAGTTAATTAAGTTGATGTAATATTGTAAATATTTGTTGTCAGTTTAACAATGTTCACACCATCTTCACCAGGAGATGAATATGAAACCACTTCTTTGCTCATCTGTAAGCATCTCAAGATACCACTTTCTCTGTTCACCCGTAAGGAACAACCCCTCAATTGTTAAAGTTTTATTATGAGATTCATACAATTTGGTCACATCTTCAGGCTCCACTTCTAATTATTTTTCTCTTGTTCTTTCCATGCCATTTACATCTATTTTCTAAAATCTTGAATCTTCAAAGTCATCCGTGAGGATTAGAATCAACTTCTTCAAACTCCTATAAATGTTGATATTTTGACTTTCTTCCATGAATCATGAACATTCTTAAAGGTATCTTGAATGGAGAATACTTTCCAAGAGTTATTTTTTAATTTACTTTGCCCAGTTCCATCAGAGAAATCACTGTCTATAGCAGCTATAGCCTTATAAAATGTATTTCTTAAATAATAAGACTTTAAAGTAAAAATGACTCCTTGATCTATGGTCTGCAGATTGGATGTTGTGTCAACAGGAATGAAAACAACATTAATATCCTTGTACACCTCCATGACAGCTCTTGGGTGATGAGGTACATTGTCACTGATGAGTAATAGTTTGAAAGTAATTATTTCTAAGTTCTAAGTTTCAACCTTGGGCTTAAAATATTCAGCAAACCATGCTGTAAACAGATGTGCTATCATCAGGTCTTTATTGTTCTATTTCTAGAGCACAGGCAGAATAGATTTAGCAGAATCCTTAAGGGCTCTAGGCAGAATACTAAATGAGCTATGGGTTCAACTTAAATTTACCAGCAGCATTAGTCCCTAACAAGAGAGTATACCTATCATTTGAAATTTTGATGTCAGACACTGGCTTCTTCTCTCTACCTATGTAAGCCCTAGATGACGTTTTCTAACATGAGAATGTTCTTTTTTTTTTCTACTTACAGAGTCTGTTGTTTAGTGTAGCCAACTCATGACTTATCTTACATAGATCTTTTGGGTAACTTGCTGCAGCTTCTAATCAGCATTTGCTACTTTGCCTTGCTATTTTGTGTTGTGGAGAGAGCTTCCTTCCTTAAGTCTCATGAATCAATCTCTGTTAGCTTCAAACTTTTTTTTTTTCTGCAGCTTCCTCATGTATTTCAAACTACATAGAATTAAAGAGAGTTGGGGCCTTGCTCTGAGTGAGGTTTGGCTTAAGGGAATGTTGTGGTCTGAGTGAAGTTTGGCTTAAGGGAATGTTGCTCTGAGTGAAGTTTGGCTTAAGGGAATGCTGTCATCTTCTACCCAGACCACTCAAATTTTCACCATAATGGAAATAAAGCTGTTTTGCTATTCTTGTATTCACTGGAGTAGCATTTTTAATTTTCCTCAAAAGTTTTTCTTTTGCCTTCACAGGTTGTCTAACTGGTACAAGAGGCCTAGCTTTCAGCCTATCTCAGCGCTCAACATGCCTTTCTCACTAAGCTTAATCATTTTTAGCTTTTGCTATAAAGTGAGAAAAGTGTGACTTTCACTGGAATACCTAAAGGCCATTGTACGGTTACTAACTGACCTAATTTCAGTATTGTTCTGTCTTAAGGAATAGGGAGGCCCTAGGAGAGGGAGAGAGATGGAGGAACGATTGGTTGGTGGATCAGTCAGAACACACACATTTATCCATTAAGTTCACCATCATATATGGGTACAGTTTGTAGTTCCCCAACACAATTACAAAAGTAACCCCAAACATCACTGATTGCAGACCACTGTAATCAAGTATAATAATAATGAAGATGTTTAAAATATTGCAAGAATTACCAATATGTGACACAGAGACTCAAAGTGAGCACATACTGTTGGGAAAAATGATACTGATAGTTTTACTTGACATGGGATTGCCACAAACCTTCAATTTGAAAAAGATCTCCAAAGTGTAATTTTGTAAAAGTTTGTAAAAATATTTGCGAAGTGTAAAATGTGGCAGATTAAGAGGAGATATGTCTGAAGCTGGAAAGTTAGGGTGCTGAGACAGAAACTTTAAAGTCAGATTGCCTGACGCCCAAGCTTTGGCCATTTTATTTGCACAATTCTAGGTCTTTACATTGTAGGCTCATTATATTGTTCATGCAAGTCTAGAGGAGAAAACTACAACAAAGTCTGAAGTACCAATGTTAAATTGATTATGATTATTTAAATGTTTTTTTATTCGTTTTTGTTTTTGCTGGTATTTCAATTAAATGTGATAGTAAAGGTAAATTAGTTTTCATTTTTACTTATTTTTAATATGTGAAAAATTATAAAAATTAACTTATGTTCCATGTAATCATTAACATACTAAAATAATATTTTAAAAGTAATCACCAATTCCTTTTTTTTTTCTCACCTTTGCGTCACCACACTCTCAATCTAAAGCTAAGCAAATAAAACTCCTGGTGTGTTCCAAACTGTTTTTCAACTTTTAGAATCAAGTTGTGAAGAAAGTATGGTTGATTTACTTTACAGGAGAGTAATTGAAGACATAACTGCTCAACTTGGGTAGAATTTTGCAGTGTTATCTTAAATTCATATAGTTTAACCGTCCACAAAGCTATTTTAGAAATTAAAGGCAGAATTATGTGATTGATTTCAACTATGATAAATTTATATCCATGTGGCAAAAAACTTGATATCACACACACACTCATAAATATTGCATTATATTTATACATTAAAGATACATTAAGTCTATATTTAATTTTGTTATAATTTAATAATGAGAATGCCGTGTCATATTTGCTTTCTCATTAAATCTACACAATATTTTATAAAATATAAAGAGGTGAGATGACTTGCCTGAGACCAGAAAGCTAGTAAGTGGCAGAATTGGAATAAAAGCCGAAGCTTTCACCTTCATTCTCCATTGCAATTTTATTCTCTTTCTCTTTTTCTTTCTGAAAACATTATCTAGGTTCTCTCTGAATATTCTTGAAAAAATATATGATTACTGCTTCTTATGTCAAGTATTTATTTTTCTAAATTTTTACTACTATATTTTTGGAGATACATGTGATAATGTTCTGATTAGTACAGCATCAGTGTTAAATCTACACAGCATGTTCAAAAATTACTTGAAAAATGTATATCATTAGCATTCTGTTATACAAATTATAAAATTTAATATTAATCAAGACAACATTATAATACTCATACCCAGGCTATTATTAATGTAATTTTTATTGTACATAACACAAGGATGCTTTATTAGCAATCTACAATTTAACGTTGCGTCTATTATTTTTAGAATCTATGACATACACATGCTATTTGAGTTATTAGAGCATCACATTATAAAAATAAAAGTATGGAGAAAATTACGCATTATATGTTTGAAAAAAATAATTATTGACCTACTACATTGTGATAAGATCCTTAAAAAGCAGTAATGAACACACAATGTTTATGAAGTAGACTTCTAAGAAAGATGGAAGTCATCTAGTGTGAAGGGCCATGGTTGTGCTCTGTGGGTTATTTACTCAGAACAAGGGAGAGAAGACTGAGTTGTTACTAACAGTAGTACTGTTGCTTTATTCTTTCTCTAAACATGATAATAATAAATATTTCAAGAATATGGTTTTGAAGAAGCTACCCATGCAATCCAGAATGATGCACTCTTGCTCCAAAATCTAGAGAACTTCACTGAGTCTCATCTGTCTAAGCTTTCCAGTAACCTGCCAAAGTATCATTATATATCATAGATACCTCTTGGACCACAGCCTGCACCTGCTGTAGAGCCTTCTCAAAACCAGCAACCTTCTGAGTCACCTGGAAAAGAGATGATATAAGTATGCCCAATGTTTTACATATTATCTCCAAAATTCAAAAGTAGCTGATCAAATATTTTGCCTCTTTTCCTTTGATGGAGGTTGAGATGAATTGTATCATCCTTTTTTTCCCCCAATGAGATGTCTCAACATGTGAAATATCACTGTACTCCTAATATTTCCCTGATGATAATAAGCCTTTTTAGAGTTTATCTTCCAGTCTCTGGTGTACATGTATTTTACCAGACTAACTAACATAGTTACCACTTGTCAAACATGTCTTATTAACATGATGTCATTAAGATAGTGCACCAGTAGATGTTCTGTCAATTATCAGTAAAAGTTTAAGTAAAATTTATTTGGACTATATAGTTACAGAGAGCAGAAGAGTTAACTCTGGCCTGGGACAAGACTAAAAACAATTACTACAGTCTGATGTGCTTTCCTGATGGGACTGAAATGAAGGCATTCACCAGATCAATAGCTGAGTATCAAGTGTGAGAAGCTGTGATGACATGTTCTGGAAAAGTCACCACATCATGTGAGGCAGTGCAAATTGTGGCTACAACTTCTTTTGAAGTTCAATTTAGTTCTTCTTCTGCCCTGATTCATCTTGTTTTTGAAGTTGTAATTCTGATTTTTTTAAAAGGGTATGATGGGCACCACCAGTGCTACATTTTTTAAGTCTGTATGAGTGGTTCTAATATTTGTCATTGTACCTTGGATATAACTGCTTCAGTTTTACTAATTAGGTCAAGGAAGGGAACTTTCAGTGACTTCCATTTGGCCTTTCCCCTAATAATCGATCCGTGGACTTCATATCAGTGTTCTGCTAATTGCTAAATATATCTACCTCAATTATGTACTCAGGGATATAAGAAATAGTCACAGGTGTGATATGTGAACTTATACTTGTAAAACAGCCTTGTACCAGGACCAAGTGCTTCTCACAGTGCTTCTACATGGTCCCACTGTAGGAGGGGAACTGTAATGGCATTTTGGGTCTCTTTATATGAACATCTCTGTAGACCCCATATACAATATCCCTTGAAAGATGTATTTCCCCATTATATGGGTACTCTGATAAATTGCCATAGATCTCTTTGAGAAACAGCTGCTGGTTATATTTGCTGTAACACTACAAAATGCTTCCTCAAAGGGACACAACATCTTTGAAATTATTTATGAATTTCACTTTCATTTTTTACTTCTAAATTATTTTAATGTATAAAGTGTATCACCTATTATTTAGTATATGGCTGCTCAGAATATGAAGTAAGTGGCCAACAGACTTATTATCTGGAAGAGTTGTTAGATCACTCAAATGTACTGAACTAGAAGTCTGTATTTTATCAAGATCCTCGGTATTACCTAAATACATTAAAATTTGTGATACTAAGATGGTATATATACACTGGCCAACTTGTATGAGTAATTAACATTTTCTTTTTATTTTATATATATATATATTTTTATTTTTCTTGAGACAAGTGCTCACTCTGTCACCCAGGCTGGAGTGCAGCCTTGGCCTCCATGGTTCAAGCTATACTCTGGCCTCAGCTCCCCAAGTAGCTGGGACTACATGCCTGCACCACCATGTCCAGCTAATTTTGTGTTGTCCAGGCTGGTCTCGAACTCCTTGCTCAAGTGATCCACCTACCTCAGCCTCCCAAATGCTGGGATTAAAGGCGTGAGCCACAGCACCTGGCCAGTAACAAACATTTTATGTTTTATCAGTTTTATTTATAAATCAAGTTATAAAATTGGTTGTAGACAAGAATGTTAAAAACTCTTATGTATTAAAAAAATCAAAAGATCACAGTTACTACATTAGCTCCTGAGTAACATGCTAATAATATATAGAAATTGTCATACTGGAATTTTAGTTCATAAATTATGGATTCATGCACTTACCACCTTTATATGAGTGTCTTTTAAACATCTCATAGAAACCAGCATTTCTGATGTACACATTCCTATGGGTTTTGTGCTGTAGCAATTTTGCTCACAAGGTGCTCTGTTAATATAATAATGTAATATGATATTACATATCATATGATTGTAATTAGAGAAATGCAATTATTGTTTTTCCTCTAAAAGTGCTTGAAAATAAAAGATTCTTGGCTGGGCGCGGTGGCTCACGTCTGTAATCCCAGCACTTTGGGAGGCCTAGGCGGGCGGATCATGAGGTCAGGAGATCGAGACCATCTTGGCTAACACGGTGAAACCCCGTCTCTACAAAAAAAAAAAAAAAAAATTAGCGGGGAGTGGTGGTGGGCGCCTGTAGTCCCAGCTACTCTGGAGGCTGAGGCAGGAGAATGGCGTGAACCTGGGAGGCGGAGCTTGCAGTGAGCCGAGATCGCGGCACTGCACTCCAGCCTGGGCTACAGAGCAAGACTCTGTCTCAAAAAAAAAAAAAAAAAAAAAAAAAGATTCTTTGCTTAGAAAATAATAGATGACGTACATTTTGAATCACAAAAACCAGCTTATCTGTTGTGTAAGATAGTATAGTATTTTTCTATTTGATGATATTGTAAATTACATAGGGATTCATTTAACCCTAGAATTCAATTAAACCAGAAAGTTTTTTTTTTTAATTATAAGGTAATTTTCATTTAGCAACATTCAAGCACATTTTTCAAATAAACTATTCAACATTTTTTGAGACTTTAGGTGTTGTGAACTGAAAGTTTCTTTATGGATGATTACTCTGAAAAAGATTTAACTCGAAAATAAGTGTGTATTATATACTAATATAAAATTATAGAATAAAGTAGTGGTACTCTCCCTGTTAAAACACTCTTAAGCTATATCACATATATTCAGGCAGATGTAAATGCAAACATATCCATATCTAGACATGCATATATAAGGAAACGTGATAGGTAGACAGATATAGATAGCTATATACAGACATAGATATGAAGATATAGATGACAGTTATAAATAATGCCTCCATATCACAATGTTTATTTGGTAATTATCATTGGAGCCATGAGTCAGTTGTGTTCATTTTACTCTTGGAGACACTGAGGCTTAAAGCAGGTGAACTACCTCCTAAGACCATATTTAGCTAGCAGCAAAGTCTGAAATCAGGTATTATAACTCTTTGCTGAAATATCTTCTGAGGTTTTCATTTTACTTAGCAACTTCCTGTTATGACTTTTCATAATGTCAGATTAAAACATTATTAAAAGCAGATTAACATCTAAAAAAAATTTTACATTTATTTTTCTTTTCTTTTTGTAGAGATGGGGTCTTGCTATGTTGTCCATGCTAGTCTCAAACTCCTGGGCTCAAGTGATTCTTCCACCTCAGGCTCTCAAAGTGCTGTGATTATAGGCATGAGATACCACACCTGGCTACTATTTTAAAAGTTTGAAAAAAATGAGGAGTTGCTACCAATAAAATACGTGCTTATTTTAAATTAAATAATCCAATATTGTTTGTAGTGTTCTTTGCTTTTAACGGCCCAGGGGATTCATTCTGCCACTTATTCTTCAAGGTAATTAAGGGTATCAATTGCACATGATATGTTACACTGCATTAGGATGAAGGTATAATCAATAAGTGGCCAGTTCATTCAGTATTTTGAAGACTTTGCAAAATGGAAGGTCATGCCTGATGAGAATACAATAGCAAAAGTGTCACCAAATGATTACCGTGATTTGACAGTAATTAGAGTATTATTTTTACATAGATGCAGTATTTAACGTGGTTACTATCTTATGTGAAATTTAATATTGAGCTCTTCTTGCCTGCAAATCTTATTGGCAACCTAACTCCTAAGTGAAATTTCAGCTCAGTATGTAGCTTTAAATGTCCATGTAGTACAGTTCTTTTTTTTGAGTTTAATAAATAAGTGAGTACATTTTTTCAAAGTGTCATTTGGTAAAACATAGCTAAATATGTATATAGTCAAATTTCTAATATTTTTTCAACAAATAATTGTGTTTCTGAGCAGAGCGCCGAATTCAGTACAGTGGTGTCAGGGAGACAGTACAAAGACCTATAAGTTAAGAAAAGCAATAATAGTAATAAAATAAATATTATAATTTAATTGTTCTGACAAGTCTTTCCTCTGGGCATTATATCCCCAATTTTACAACTGTGCAAAGTGAGACAAAGAAAAGTTAAATTGCCTGCTTAAAGTCACATAACTATATGAGTGTTCATGATTTGATCTCAGGTTTATTTACAAGAAAACTACTTGCATTTATGTCAAATTTGAAAACAACTGGTCCTTCTGTCAAAGGGCTCATTATTAATGTACAGATACCCAGAAGCACAAAATTAGCAAAATGACTAAGCAGACGATCTTGAAAATACACAAGTTTAAACAAAATGATAAGAGGGCTCTGTAGAGTTGGCGTTTAAATCTGACTTTAGCAAATATGGAATGATTCTCAGATAGGGTAACATTTGACCCTGAACTTAGATGTTGAATTTTGATGGACAAAAAGGTGTTAGGCATGTCAGCAATATTGATGACTGGGAGTAAAGACAATGATGCATACTAGATCCTAGCGTGCCCAGGTAAAAGCAAGCAGTTTGGTACCAAAGAAACATAAAAAACAGAGAATAACAGAAAAGGAGAGAACAGTAGCTGAAAATGAGATTTTATAAAGTTATATTTAAAAAACCTTATGAAGATACTTACTTGCCATGCCAAGGAATTTTAATTTTTTTAAGTAACAAAAAAATAGAAAAAATAGAGAGAGCAATATAGTAATGTTCTAGGGTGAAATGGCATGGAGAGAGATGAAGTCAAGGGTATCATTTGGGAGGATATCATAAGAACTTAACTGCAGTCACATACATTCCTCTTCTTGTCCATATAACTAGTGAGTTTAGTGTGCATCCAGAGTCATTCTCTGAACTGATTGATAATATTAATTATGATGATTACATGCATTTAGATATCACTTTTTGGCCCAAATTTGTTCATATGTCACCATATTCAGTCCTAGGAATAGGAGAAATGAGAAAAATGGTGCAGGTATTCCATCAGCAATTTGGAGATACAGAATTTTTAATAGAAAAATTAATGTAACTGCTTAGAGTCATACAAGTAAATAACTGAAGAAAACAAAGTGAAATAAGTCAGGTACAGAAAAGCAAACTGCACATGTTCTCACTCATTTATGGAAGCTAAAAATTAAAATAATTGAACTTCCAACCCTTTTCATTATAGCTTACAGCAAGTTCTAAGTAATAAATGCAAAATATAACATATTTTAATATTCATTTATATATTTCAATATTTAAATTGGATATCTATTTTTGAAACATCGAATAGATTAACACTTTATATGTATTTGCTTTTTCAAATATAGAACACCATATTAAAAATTAATTCAACAAATATTTATTGAGTACCTGTTAGCATGAACTAGTCACTGATGAGGAAAGAAGAGTAATGAAAACTAAAGCCTAGTAATGAAGGTAGAAATTAATCTAATAATAAGCAGAAATAGTCATTTCTCTTCTCTTCATTACTTATTTTTTAATTACAGAAATTTTTATTCATAATTTATATGCTTAAGTTTATAATGCAATGGAATATATTTAGACAAATGTAATTGTTTTAAACTTATAAGCTACTGAAAACCTTGTCATAACTATGTGTCCAGTTCTTATAATTTTTTGATGCAGTCTGGCAGCAAGTCTTTTGAAATATACTTCAAAAGCTTTGAAATCAGAGTTTTACTGGGAAGTAAATATGGCATATAAAAGTACAAGAAGATGAAGGATTTATAGCTCAGCTTCCCCACATAACCTCACAAAAGAAAATCCAGGAGATTTTTCTGTCAAAGAGAATAGATGGGGTTCAATCATGATAAGGCTTTAAAAAGTATCTCTAGACACCTCTAGATCAAAATGACACATGTCTAAGCATCCACCAATGTATGGTCTCCACATTTTTTATGCATAGATATATGGAAAGATGAAAACTCTCAGCAATTTGAAGAAAGAAAGACTGGCACAAAGAAAATCGACAACATGGTGGGAAATATCTCATTAACAATAAAGCGTCTGGATGTGGATTATGAAAAACCTAGCTAGACTTTATAGCACATGCCAAAATCTTTCATGGGGAGGCACCAAGAAATAATTTAAAAGTGGCTTCATTTCTATATTATTCACTCATAATTTGCTGACCCAGGAACTCGGAGCGTGAACTGCTCAGAAAAGATGGCAGAAATTTGTTTCCTCACTTAGGGAATTGATTTGTGAGTTATGCACCCCTTCTTCAAACTCTAAATCTACACATTCTCCATATTCACAGTATATTTTAAAAGTTAGAGTAGATTTAGGTATCAAAAGCTATACGCTTAATTTAGAGACTGACTGATGGTACTATTGCACACTTGAAGAAGTCTATGCAGATATATAAGAGAGGACAATTATAATTATCTGTGTACTGTAATAGATTTAAGAACATAAAAGCCAGGTCAAAAAACAAATCAAAAAGATTAAAGTGTGAAAATAAAGGAATTGTACTAGAAACTCAACCTTGTTTGAGTTTATCTCTAGCTAGAAAATTTTAAATGAAGCGAAAAAGTCCTGAAAAGACTGAAAGAGGCGAAAGGTACTTCATTTTGGAAAATCTTTGTAGTCTTTTTTTTTTCTAATATAAAGAATATGTGTCTTCAGTGTATCACAAGGAGAACATTGGCTAATATTAAAAAGCAGAAAAATTTTTTATCAAGTATTCAAAATAAGAAATAAGAAAAAATATCATGGAAATGACAAATCTATTTAAATCTGTACTAAAAACTGTAAAGAGCAGAATTGATCAAGTCAACACAAACAAATACCTAAAAACAAAACTAAAAAAATCCCAAAAATGCAATAAATGAGTAGAACAATTTGTATGCCTTTGAATAAGTTTGAAGAAGAGCTCTTAAAATGAAGAAGAAAGGTCAAAGTGGTTAACATTACGAGAGGCAAGATTATCAGTATAGATTATTGATAACAAGAATCAAATATGTGAGTCTTGAAGATTATACCAGATTATAATACACAGGAATTAAAATAGTTATATATAGAAGAGATTCATAGAAAGCCAAGCTAAAACAACAATAATTTAACAAGAAAATTTAGTTTTAAATGAAAATTGCCAGCTACAGTAAACAAACAGGTAAGTGTGTGCTATGTTCAGGGGGCAAATACTGTCAAAAGAAACAACTTCAACAAAACTTAGATTTTGGGTTTAGCATTAAAACCTTGACAGGGTCTACTATAAATGTGTTATCACGACACAAGAATGATTCAAGAAAATGAAATAAGGGACGTACTGATTTGAAAGAAATGATTAAAAATAAAAATATTTACTTGCAAAATATATTAGTGTGCATAAGGGAAATACTAAGAAAATTTAAGAAATGCTACTAGAACTAATTAAGTGGATTTAATAAGTTTGTAAGGTAGAAGATTAATTTTAAAAAATTAATTTATTTCATATATAACAATAAACAATTTAAACTTAATTTTAAAATATCTATCTACAATATCATAAAAAACTTGTGAAATATTTTATCAAAATATATGTAAGTCCTATATACTGAAACTATAAAACATTACTGAGAAAAATTAAAGAAGACCTAATCAAATGGAAAGCAGTATCATGTTCATGTTTTGGAAAACTGGATATTGTTAAGATGATAATTTTTGCCAGAGTGATCTATAGATTTAATGTTATCCCAAACAAAATTCCAGCTGTGTTCTAAATAGAACCTGACCTGCATATTCTGAAATTTATGTACACATACAAATGGCCAAAAAGAGTCAATATTACATTTAATTTTTTAAAAACAATATTGGATGATAGCAGTACACTAATGCAATACTACAAAGCTACAGTAATCTTGAGAGTATGATAATTACCTAAGCATAAACATATAAGTTGTGTACCAAAAAGTATCTGAGACAGGCCCCAATAAATTTAGAAAGTTTATTTTGTCAAGGTTAAGGATGCATCCATGACATAGCCTCAGGAGGTTCTGATGACAGGTGCCCAAGGTGATCGGGGTAAAGCTTGGTTTTATACATTTTATAGAGACATGAGACATCAATCAATATGTGTAAGATGTACATTGCTTCTTTCCGGAAAGGTGGAATAACTTGAAGGAGGGGTAAGGGAGAGGAGCTTCCTGGTCATAGATAGCTAAGAGACAAAGAGTTGCATTATTTTGAGTCTTAGATCAGGCTTTAACTAAATACACAATTTCCACATGATTCTGGGGTAAAGGAATAATCACTTTTGCCTTAGACTGGTTCAGTGAATCTCCATTTTCACATAAACAATAGGACAGAGGAAGCAATAAGATACGCGTTTGTCTCTGGTGAACAGGGGGATGACTGAATTCTGTCCTTTGTCCTGAACCTGTGAAGACAAGCTATCAACATACATTGCCAAGGTGAAATTCAACAGAAATGTTTTAGGATAGAGATCTTGTAGCCGGCAAAGAAATTCCTGTAGGCAAATTGTGAGGGAAGTATGCAGCTTTTTTATCTTTGTAGGTATCTTATTAGAAATAAAATGGGAGCAGATTTGCCTGATTCAGTTCCCAGTTTGTTTTTTCCCTTTGGCTTAGTGATTAGGGGGTCCCAAGATTTATTTTCCTTTCACAACTTCAATAAAATATAAACGAGCTTCCATATGCTGACCCACATGTATATATGGTTTCAATTCATGGCTATTAAACTGCTAAGGTAATTCACTGGGAAAAGTTAAGTCTTTCCAGCAAATGATGTTGAAATACAAGATACCAATCTAGGAAAAAAAAATCCTTCACTCCTACAGTGTCATATCTAATCACAAATTGATAGTGGATTTGCATATTAGAGCTAAAATCAAGAAACTCCTAAAAAAAAACTTTGAAAAAAATATGTGTGACTTAGAGTTAGCAAAAATTTCTTTGATAGAATTGATAGGACACAAAACAAACAAAACTTAAAGGAAAATATAAACATCAAATTTTTTTGCTCATCCAATAACACCATTAAGAAAATGAAGAGAATGCCCAGTTTCAAAGAAATATTTTTAAGTCATATATCTGATATAAAAATCTACTCAAAATATATAAAGAACTCCCACAATGCAGTAAGACAAATAATACAATTTTAAATGAGCAATTTGAATAGGTATTTTACAAAACAAGATATACGAATGCTAATATGCTTCTAAGATATTGTAAACACTGCCTCCATTAGGTAAATACAACTTAACAACACAGTAAGAAACCACTACAAATCTACTGCCTGCTAAAATTGTAAAAGATTGACAACTTCAAGAATTAATGAGAATGTAAAGCAACTGAAACCTTCATACATTGAAAATTAATGCAGTCACTATAAACATAAAACGATTTTTGAATATATTAAAAGATTAAGGCTCATCAAATGACCCTTGGATTTTACTCCTACATATCTACCTAAGGGAAATGAAAACTATATCCACACTAAGACTTGTATGCAAATGTATATAGTTTCTCCATTTCTTTCTCTCTCTCTCTGTCTCTCATTCTCTGTCTCTCTGCTTCATCCTGGACAACACGACTACTTGTAATACCTAAGTACATACTTCCTCTGATTTAACAATCATAATTTTTTTTAATCTTCAACATTTATTATAAGCTCAAGTGTATATGTGCAGGATGTGCAGGTTTGATACATAGGTAAACATGTGCCACGGTGGTTTGCTGCACAGATCATCCCATCGCCTAGGTATTACAGCAAGCATCCATTAGCTATTCTTCCTGATCCTCTCCCTCCTCCCAGCCCTGCCCCAGCAGGCCCCAGTGTGTGTGGTTCACCCTCATCTGTCCATGTGTTCTCATCTTTCCGCTCCTACTTGTAAGTCAGAACATACAGTATTTGGTTTTCTGCTCCTGTGTTAGTTTGCTGAGGATAATGGCTTCCATCTCCAACTATGTCCCTGCAAAGGACATGATCTTCTTCGTTTTTATGGCTTCTTAGTATTCCATGATGTATATTTACCACATTTTCTTTTATCCAGTCTATCATTGATGAGCATTTAGGTTGATATCATGTCTTTCCTGATGTGAATAAAGCTTCAATAAACATATGGATGCATATATCTTTATAATAGAATATAATATTCCTTTGGGTATATACCCAGTAATGGGCTTACTGGGTCAAATGGTATTTCTGGTTTTAGATCGTTGAGGAATTGCCACACTGTCTTCCACAATGTTTGAACTAATTTACACTCCTACCAACAGTGTAAAAGCATCCCTTTTTCTCCAAAGCCTCAACAGCATCTGTTGTTTCTCAACTTTTTAATAATTGCCATTCTGACTGGCATGATATGCTATCTCATTGTGGTTTTGATTTGCATTTCTCTAACGATCTGTGATGTTGAGCTTTGTTTCATATGTTTATTGGCTTCATAAATGTCTTCTTTTGAGGTGTGTCTGTTTATGTACTTTGCCCACTTTTTAATGGGGTTGTTTTTCCTTGTAAATTTATTTAAGTTCCTTGTAGACTCGGGGTATTAAACCTTTGTCAGATGGATAGATTGCAACATTTTTCTCTGATTCTGTGGGATGTCAGTTCACTCTGATAATAATTTCTTTTCTTGTGCAGAAGCTCATTTAATTACATCCCATTTGTCAATTTTTGCTTTTGTTGCAATCAATTTTGGCTTTTTTTGTCATGAAATCTTTGCCTGTGCCTATGTCCTGAATGGTATTGCCTAGATTTTCTTATGGGGATTTTGTAGTTTGGGGTTTTACATTTAAATATTTACTTCATCTTGAGTTCATTTTTGTATAAGGTGTAAAGAATGGGTACAGTTTTAATTTTCTACATATGGGTAACCAGTTCTCTCAGCACCATTTATTATACAGGATATCCTTTCCCCATTGCTTGTTTTTGTCAGGTTTTTGGAAGATCAGATGATTGTGGAAGTGCAGTGTTATTTCTGCATTTCTTATTCAATTCCATTGGCCTACATGTTTGTTCTTGTACCAGTACCATGCTGTTTTGGTTACTGTAGCCTTGTAGTATAGTTTGGAGTTGGATAACATGATGCCTTCAGCTCCGGCTTTGTTCTTTTTGTTTAGGACTCTCTTGGATATTCAAGCTCCTTTTTGGTTCCATGTAAATTTTAAAATAGTTTTTTTTTTATAATTCTGTGAAGATTGTCAATGGTAGTTTAATGAGAATAGCATTGAATTATAAATTACTTTAGGCAGTACGACATTTTAACAATACTGATTCTTCCTATTTTTGAGCGTGGGCTTTTTAAAAATTTGTTTGTGTCTTCTCTGATTTTCTTGAGCAGTGATTTGTAATTTCCTTGAAAAAGTACTTCACTTCCCTTGTTAGCTGTATTCCTAGGAATCTTACTCTTTTTGTAACAATTGTGAATGAGAGTTCATTCATGATTTGGCTCTCTGCTTGCCTGTTGTTAGTGTATAGGAATGCTAGTTATTTCTGCACATACATTTTTATATCTTGAGACTTTGCTGAAGTTGCTTATGAGCTTTAGAAGCTTTGGGGCTGAAATGATGGAATTTTCTAGACATAGAATCGTGACATATTTAAATAAAGTTAACTTGACTTCCTCTCTATTTGAATACATTTTTTTCTCTTGCCTAATTCCCTCACTAGAAATTCCAATATTATGTTGAATAAGAGTAGTGAGAGAGATCATCCTTGTTTGTGCTGGTTTTCAAGGGGGAATGCTTCCAGCTTTTGCCCATTCAGTATGTTATTGGTTTTGGGTTTGTCATATACAGCTCTTATTATTCGGAGTTATATTCCTTCAATAACTAGTTTATTGAGAGTTTTTAACATGAAGAGTTGTTTAATTTTATCAAAGGCCTTTTCTACATCTCTTGAAATAATCATGTGGTTTTCATCTTTATTTGTGTTTATGTGATGAATCACATTTATTGATTTGTGTATGTTAAACCAATCTTGCATCCCAGGGATGAAGCCAACTTGATCATGGCGTATAAGCTTTTTGGTGTGCTTTTGGACTTAGATCTCCAATATTTTATTGAGAATTTTTGCATTTATGTTCATCACGCATATTGCCCTGAAGTTTTCTTCTTTTGTTTTATATCTGCCAGGTTTTTATAGCAGAATGATGCTGGATTCATAAAGGAATTAAGGAAAAAATTTCAATTTTTTGGAATAATTTTTGTAAAAATTGTATCAGCTCTTCTTTGTACCTCTGGTATAATTCATTTGTAAACCTGTCTGGTCCTGGGCTATTTTTGCTTGGTAGACTATTTGTTACTGCCTTGATTTTAGAAAATTTTATTAGTCTATTCAGTGATACAATTCCTTCCTGTTTCAGTCTTGGGAGGGTGTATGTGTCCAGGACTTTATTCATTTATTCTAGATTTTCTAGTTTATGTGCATATGGATATTTATAGTATTCTCTGATGGTTGTTTGTATTTCTGTGAGGTCAGTGGTGAAATTCCCTTTATCATTTCTGAGCATGTTTGATTCTTCTCTCCTTTCTTCTTTGTTAGTCTAGCTAGTGGTGTAACTATTTTATTAATTTTTTTTTTCAAAAATATAAAACAGCTCCTGGATTTTTTAAGTTTTGAAGAGTTTTTGTGTGTCTCTATCTTCTTCAGTTCCACTCTGATTTTGGTTATTTCTGGTCTTCTGGTAGCTTTAGGGTTTGTTTGCTCTTGGTTTTCTAGTTCTTTTAGTTGTGACGTTAGGCTGTTAATTTGAGATCATCTTAGCTTTTTGATGTGGACATTTAGGGCTATACATTTTCCTCTTAATACTGCTGAGCTGCACCCCAGAGATTCTGTTATGTTATCTCTTTGTTCTCATTGGTTTCAAGGAATTTCTTGATTTCTGCCTTAATTTCAGTATTAACCAAGGAGTCATTCAGGAGCAGTTTGTTCAATTTCCATGTAGTTGTGTAGTTTTGAGTGAATTTTTAAGATCTTGAGTTCTAATTTGATTGTGCTGTGGTCTTAGAGATTGTTTGCTATCATTTCAGTTCTTTTGCATTTGCTGAAGAGTGTTTTACTTCTGATTGTGTGACCAATTTCTGAGTGTCATGTGGTGATTAGAAGAATGTATATTCTGTTGTTTGTGGGGTGGAGAGTTTTGTGGATATCTATCAGGTCCACTTGATTCAGAGCTGAGTTCAGGTCCTAAATATCCTTGTTAGTCTTCTGTTTTGATGATCTGTGTAATTTAAATATTTAGCTTGGCTATGAATCTAAAATAAGATATATAAATGTATCAGCAACTTTTTTTAGGATGTCAAATAAAAGATTATTTCTATAAACATCTTCGGCGTTCATCTCTTTTGTTTTATTGTCTCTTTATTGAGATCACTCTCTCTCTCACTCTGATTTTTAGATTTTTTTCACTTAAATTTTGTAATCAATATCATAAATTTCTTTAAATTCTATCTTGTTTGCAGATGACTTTTCTGATAAAGATAATTGATTTTCTCACATTTTCATTTCCTTTAAATAGATTTGGAAGCTTCTATCACACTGGGATAGGCTATTCTGCATCCTTTATTTTAAGAAGTTTTAGGCAAATATATGTCAAGCCAGAAAATATTCAAATGGGACTTTATTACCTGTACCATATCTGCCCTAATTCAATTAATTTTTCTTCTCTTTCTACATGTGCCATCTCTGGTCCTTACAATCTTTTCTATTGGCCAAATTGCGATGAAACAATTATTATTTTTCACCTACTATCTGCATCATCTATTTGCTGATGTTTTGGGAAGTTGCTGCAGCTCTTAATGCCATTTAATTTTTGGAATTCATATCTATATCTATAAATACATTTTCACAGCAGAACATTTTTTCCTCAATGTGTCATATTATCAACTGTAGGCTAATCCTCTGTATTATTCTAATCATTCATTCAACAAATATTTATGGAATACATAGTATGTGCAAGCATAGACCAGTGTTGGTGACAGTACCATAAACTGAACCCATATTTCTGTCCTCATTAAGTTATGATCTAGTAAAGCTGGTGGTAGGGGCAAGAGGTAATGCAGAATAAATAAATAAAATGTACAGTCTATTAGAAGGTGGTAAGTTATAAAAAAATTAAAAATAAATTTAAAATAATAAAAAATAAAAACATAATTGACCAGAAACTACATATTGAGAGTGAGTGAGATAGAATGTGAGTAGACTTTGAATTTTAAATAAAATGTTAATGAAAAAATAAAAACGTAAGTAAAGCTCCGAAGGAGGTGATAAATCAAACCCTGGATCTAGCTAAGGGTAAACTACCCAGGCAGAAGTAGCATAAGCAAAAGCCCTACAACAGGAATGTACTCAAAATGTTTAAGGTACAGCAAAAAGCCAGTGGATAAGGAGCAGAGTGAGTGAAGGAAAGAAAGGTAGTAGATGATGTCAGAGAGGTAACTGGGAGCCTCATCATGTGGAGCCTGTGTGGCCATTGTACATACTCTGGATTGTATTTTAGTTAAGTTAGAAGCCACCAGAGCATATTAAGCAGAAGAATAATCTTTAGTGTCTTCTGTTGGAATAATCTCAAACTCCAAATTTCTCTCTACTTTCATATTAATAAACTATTATTTTTCCTTCAACGCTTTGCACTAGATTTTTAAAAACTCATCCCAAATCAAACTTTTCTAACAAAATACAACAACAACAAAAATGCATGGTACTACCGGATCCTTTCTCACTTTTGAATGTGCAGCCAACACCACTAATCAAGTACAGTACAATAGCATGTCTTGTTGAGCCTGATAAAGCTTTTGAATCTTTTCCATATCAATTCTTCAAGTAACCACTAACAATCAGTTGAAGTTAGAACCCAAAATGAAGCCTGTTAGCCCACGTTACAAAAGCTGTTTTGCCATCGCATGCCACCATTCCACTCTGGATTATGGAACTTGTCACTCTATCTATACTAGAAATTTCGGGATTTTTTGCTTCCTATTGAGAGGTGACAGCGTGCTGGCAGTCCTCACAGCCCTTGCTCACTCTCGGCACCTCCTTTGCCTGGGCTCCCACTTTGGTGGCACTTGAGGAGCCCTTCAGCCTGCTGCTGCACTGTGGGAGCCCCTTTCTGGGCTGGCCAAGGCGGGAGCCGGCTCTCTCAGCTTGCAGCGGGGTGTGGAGGGAGAGGCGCCAGCGGGAACCGGGGCTGCGCGGTGCTTGCGGACCAGCGTGAGTTCTGGGTGGGCATGGGCTCAGCAGACCCCGCGCTCAGAGCGGCTGGGCGGGCCCCACCGGCCCCAGGCAGTGAGGGGCTTTGCACCTGGGCCAGCAGCTGCTGTGCTCAATTTCTCGCCAGGCCTTAGCTGCCTTCCCCCAGGGCAGGGCTGGAGGCCTGCAGCCCACCATGCCTGAGCCTCCCACCCCCTCCATGGCCTCCTGTGCGGCTGGAGCCTCCCCAATGAGCACTGCCCCCTGCTGCACGGTGCCCAGTCCCATCGACCACCCAAGGGCCGAGGAGTGTGGGCACAGGGCATGGGACTGGCAGGCAGCTCCACCTGCAGCCTGGTGCGGGATCCACTGGGTGAAGCCAGCTGGGCTCCTGAGTCTGGTGGGGACTTGGAGAACCTTTGTGTCCACACGCTGTATCTAGCTAATCTAGTGGGGACGTGGAGAACCTTTGTGTCTAGCTCAGGGATTGTAAACGCACCAATCAGCGCCCTGTCAAAACAGACCACTCGGCTCTACCAATCAGCAGGACGTGGGTGGGGCCAGATAAGAATAAAAGCAGGCTGCCGGAGCCAGCAGTGGCAACCGGCTCGGGTCCCCTTCCACACTGTGGAAGCTTTGTTCTTTTGCTCCTTGCAATAAATCTTGCTACTGCTCACTCTTTGGGTCCACACTGCTTTTATGAGCTGTAACACTCACCGCGAAGGTCTGCAGCTTCACTCCTGAAGCCAGCAAGATCGCGAACCCACCAGAAGGAAGAAACTCTGAACACATCCAAACATCAGAAGGAACAAACTCCAGACGTGCCACCTTAAGAGCTGTAACACTCACCACGAGGGTCCACGGCTTCATTCTTGAAGTCAGTGAGACCAAGAACCCACCAATTCTGGACACACTATCAGCCTTAATTTTTCAAGAGTTGATTCAAACACAGTGTTGAGAAATCTTTTCTTTTATCTTCAATTTGGTAGATGTTTATGGAAACAGTCAGAAAACATGTTGATTAATTTCATTTTAAAATCTTTAACAAAAACTTTTAAAAAATCAAGCTCTATTTTCTCATTGATTTAAACTTAATTGCTTATCTAAATATTTTATCAATTTACTTATATTAAATTGTGTATTTTTTTTCAATTTTTCTGCCCTGAATGTTTTTAAAAAAGCAAACAAACAGGAAAATCTTGGTTTCTCAACTGATCTTATCACTTACTGCTCTAATGACAAAACCAAGATTTTCTGATATGAGTTCTCTAAACATTCTACAGCTTTACCTTTATTGTACTCTGCTCTCCTTCACATCTGAGTTGCTCTTTCTGAACACTTCTGTCTTATGCCTTAAAGAGTCTTATCACTGGTCATTTCCCTGCAATGTGGTTCATTTTTATTTTACATCTTTAAACATTTAAAATGTAAAAAAAAAAATTGTATGTTTTTCCTGTGTTAAAAGCAACTTTAGAGAGATGGTGGCGCAAGATAGCCAAATAGAAGCATCCACTGATATCATCCTCCCTTCAGGAACACCAAATTGAACAACTATCCACACAAATAAAAGCACCTTCATAAGAATCAAATATCAGGTGAATGGTGACAGTATCTGGTTTTAACTTCAAATCACTTAAAGAGGCACTGAGGGTTAGGAAAGAAAGTCTTGAATTGCTGATGCCACCCCCGCCTCCCATTCCCTGGCAGCAGCCACATGGCATGGAAAGAGAATCTATGCACTTGGGGGAAGGAGAGCACAGTGACAGTGGGACATTATTTGGGAATGCAGTGCTTCCCTGTTATCTCAGAAAACAACACCAGGGATAACTCAGCCAGCACCCACAGAATGAACATTTGAACTAGCCCTAAACAGAGGTGAATTACGTATGCCAGGGGCCAAATCCTAAGTACCAGGAAGCCTTGACACCAAGGGATAAAGTATTCTAGGTTCTAAATAAATTAGGCAGACATTCAAGGCACAAGGACTCCAATTTCTGGGCAAGTCCTGGTGTTGTGCTGGGCTTAGAGTTGGTGAAGTTGAAGCACATGTGACATAATGAGACCCAAGCCTGTATGACCAAAGGAGCGCTTGTGCCACCCCTCAGGCAACTGAAGGCAGTGCAGTTTGCAGCTCTGGGAAAGAGTTCTTCCTTCCATTTGAGGAGAGGAGAGGAAAGAGAAAAAATGACTTTTTCTTGCAACTTGGAAACCAGCTCAGCCACAGTAGGACAGGGCAGCAGACAGAGTCCTGAGGCCCCCATTCCATGTTCTACCTCCTGGATGACATTTCTAGACACATGCCGGGCCAAAAGGGAGCCTGCTGCAAAAAGATTCAGTCCTTGTAGGATTCATATCTTCTGACTAAAGAGCCCGTAGGCCCATAACAGTCAGTAGTAGTCAAGCAATACTCACCATGAGCCTTAGGTGAGACTCAGAGATGTGCTGGCTTCACCTCTCCCACAGCTCCAGGAATTTCAGCACAAAGAGAGAGACTCAATTTCCATTTGTTTGGAAGAAAGTAAGGGAATGGAACAAGAGCCTATGTCTGTTAACCTCGAGAATTCTTACAGATCTTATCCAAGACCACTAATGTGGTACCTCTATGAGTTTGCAATAGCCACAATATTATAACATGCCCTCTAATGCAGATGCAACTGCAGTGACTAAAAATTTGTGTCACAACACAGGTCAAATACCCAAAAAAGCCTTTTCAAGAAAGACAGGTAGAAACATGCCCAGACTGCAAAGAAGATTACAACAAATAACTAACTCTTCAATGCCAGACACCAGTGAACATCCATCAAGCATCAGAACCATCCAGAAAAACATGACATTATCAAACAAACTAAATAAGGCACCCAGGACCAATTGTGGAGAGACAGAGTTACAGCAACATTCAGACAAGGAATTCAAAACAGCTGTTTTGAGGCAATGCAAAGAAATTCAAGATAACACAGAGAAGAAATTCAGAATCCTATCAGATAAATTCAACAAAGATATTGAAATAATTAAAAAGAATCAAACACAAAATCTAGAACTTAAAAATTCAATTGACAGACTGAAAAATGCATCCGTCTCTTAATAGCAGAACTGATCAAACAGAAGAAAGTGTCAATGAGCATGAAGACTGTCTATTTGAAAATGCGCAAAGGAGACAAAAGAGAAAAAGAATAAAACATGCCTTCAAGATCTAGAAAATTGGCTCAAAAGGGCAAATCTAAGAATTGTTGGGCTTAAAGTGGAGGTAAAGAGATAGGGGTACAAAGCTGATTCAAATGGATAATAACAGAGAACTTCTCAAACCTACAGAAAGGTATCAATGCTCATGTACAAAAAGTTTATAGAATACTCAGCAGATTAACCTAATAAATAAGACTAAATAAGACTACCTAAACACATTTAATAAGGAAACTCCCAAAAGTAAAATATTAAGAAAGGATCCTAAAGCAGACAGAAAAAAGAAATGAATAACATAAAATGGAGCCCCATTACACCTGGCAGCAGAATTCTAAGAAGAAACCTTACAGGCCAGGAGAAAGAGGCATGACATGTTTAAAGCACTGAAGAAAGAAAGAAATGTGTATTCTAGAATAGTATGTCCAGCAAAAATATACTTCAAATATGAAAGCGAAATAAAGACTTACCAAGAGAAGCAAAAGCTGAGGAATTTCAACACAAAACCTGTCCTACAAGGAATACTAAAGAGAGTTCTTCAGTCTGAAAGAAAAAGATGTCAATGAACAATAAGAAATCAACAGGGCCGGGCACAGTGGCTTCTACCTGTTATCCCAGCACTTTGAGAGGCCAAGGTGGGCAGACTGCTTGAGTTCAGGAGTTCGAAGCCAGTCTGGACAACATGGCAAAACCCCACCTCTACCAAAAATACAAACAATAGCTGGATATGGTGCCACATGTCTATAGCTCCATTTAGTCAAGAGGTTGAGGCAGGAGAATCACTTGAACACAAAACGTGGAGGTTGCAGTCAGCAGAGATCACACTACTGCACTCCAGCCTGGGTTATAGGAGTTAAAGCCTATTGAAAATAGAGAAAGAGAGAGAAAGAAAGAAAAAGAAAGAAAGAAAGAAAGAAAAGAGGAGAGGAGAGGAGAGAGAGAGAGGGAAAGAAAGAGAGAAAGAAAGAAAGAAAGAAAGAAAGAAAGAAAGAAAGAAAGAAAGAAAGAAAGAAAGAAAGAAAAGAAAGAAAGAAAGAAAGAAAGAAAAGAAAGAGAAAGAAAGAGAAAAACTGAAAATCTAATACTGGTTATAGTAAGTGCACAGAAAAACACAGAATATTATAACAAAGAAATTTTAATGTGTATATTACACATGTCTTGAGTGGAAAGATTAAAATGTGAACAAATCAAACGTAAGAGCTACAATTTATCAAGACATAGACAGTACAATAAGATATAAATAGAAAAAAATGTTAACAAATAGAAAAGTGAAAATTTGGTCTCTGTCGGTTTTCTCTTTGCTTGTTACTCTTTTGTTTATACAATCAGAGTTAAGTTACTATTACTGTAAAATAATTGGTTATAAGGTATTATTTGCAAGCATTATGGTAATCTCAAATCAAAAAACATACTAGAGAAGCACACACACATAACACACACACACACAAACCAAGAAATTAAAACAGACCACTAGAGAAAATCACCTTCACTTAAAGAAAGACAGGAAAAAGTGAAGAAGAAAGAGAAGACTACAAAACACCAAGGAAACAAATAACAAAATGCAGGAGTAAATCCTCATTTGCCAATCATATCAATGAATACAAACGGGCTAAACTCTCCATTCAGAAGATATTGAATGGCTGAATGTATAAAAAAGAAAAACCCAATAGTCTGTTGACTACAAGAAATACACTTCACCTGTAAACAAACACATAGACTGAAAATAAATAGAAAAATATATTCTGTAAAAATAGAAACCAAAAAAGAGCAAGAATAGATATACAGAGAAAATATATTTCAAGGCAAAAATTATAAAAAGGGACAAAGAATGCCGCTATGTAACGATACAGTTTCAATTCAGCAAGACAATGTAACAATTTTAAATATATAAGCACCCAACATTACAGCACCCAGATATAGGAAACAAATATAATTAGAAATAAAGAGAGAGATACAGCCAAATGCAATAACAGCTGGAGACTTCAACATCTCACTATCAGCAGTGGAGAGATAATCCAGACAAAAAATCAACAAAGAAATATTGGACTTCATCTGCACTATAGACTAAATAGATCTAATCGCTATTATGAGACCATTTTATCTAACAGATGCAGAATACATATTCTTCTCTACAGCATATAAATCACTCTCAAAAAAAGACCATACACCACAAAACTAATCTTAAAATTGTTCTAAAAACTAAATCATATCAAGTATATTTTTTGACCAAAATGGTATAAAGCCAGAAGTCAATAACCATAGGTATTTTGGAAAGTATACACACACATAGAAATTAAACAATGTGCTCCTGCATGACAACTGGGTCAATGAAGAAATAAAGAAGGAAATTTAAAACTTCATTGAAACCAATATTAATGGATACACAACCTACCAAAACACACAAGATACAGTGAAAACAGGCGTAAAAGAAAAGTTTATAGCTATAAGCACCCACCTCAAAAAAATAGAAAACTTCAAATAAACAACCAAACAATGAATTTAAAAAAAACTAGAAAAGTAAGACCAAACCAAGCCCAGAAATTAGTAGAAGAAAATTAATAATAAAGACAGGAGCAGAAATAAGTGAAACAGAAATTTAAAAATATATAAAAGATCCATGGGACAAAAAATTTTTTTTTTTTGAAAAGACATATACAATTGACAAACCTTTAGTCAAACTAAGAAAAAAGATAGAAGACTCAAATAAATAAAATCACAAGTGAAAAAAAGACATTACAACTGATACTACAGAAATTCAGAGATTATTAGAAGCTACTATGAACAATTATATGCCAATAGATTGGAAAACTGAGAGGAAATAAGTAAATTCCTAGACATATACAATTGACCAAGATTGAATCATGAGGAAATCCAAAACCTGCACAGATAAATAACAAATAATGAGTGTGAAGCTATAATAAAAATTATCTTAGCAAGGAAAACCCCAGGACCTAATGGCTTCAATGCTGAATTGTAAGAAACATTTAAAGAAGAACTAATACCAGTCATACTCAAGCTTTTTTGAAAAATAGAGGAGGAGAGAATAGTTTTAAGTTCATTCTGTGAGGCCAGTTTTACCATGATACCCACATTGGACAAAGATAAATAAATAAATAAATAAAACTATAGTTTAATATCCATGATGAACATATGTGCCAATATTATCAAAATACTAGAAAACAAAATTAAACAACACATTAAAATGATTATTCATCATTACCAAGTGGGATTTTTCCCAGGGATGCAAGATGGTTCAACATACTCAAATCAATTACTGTGATATAGCATATCAACAGAATGAGGGACAAAAATCATATAATCATTTCAATTGACACCTGAACAACATTTGAAAATTCAAAATCCCTTCATAATAAAATACTTGAAAACTGAGTATAGAAGTAACATAGTTAAACACAATAAAAGCCGTATACAACAGACCCACAGGTAGCATTTTAATGAATGGGGAGAAAAGGAAAGCCTTTCCTCTTTGATCTAGAACACAACAAGAATGCCCACTTTTACCATTATATTACTAGAAGACCTAGCTAGAGCAATCAGAAAAGAGGAAGAAATAAATAAAATATAGGACATCCAAATTAGAAAGAAAAAAGTCAAATTATCCTTGTTTGCAGATGATGTGATTTTATATTTTGGAAAACCTAAAGATTCCACCAAAAAAAACTATTGGATTGATAAACAAATTCAGTAAAGTTGCAGGATACAAAATCAATATACAAAAATCAGTAGCATTTCCATATGGTTGCACAAACAACCGAAAAAGGAAAACAAAGGAAGTAATCCCACTTTAAATACAAATAAAATTAGCTAGAAATTAAACAAAGAAGCAAAAGATCTCTATAATGAAAACTCATTCTAAAATACCGATTAAAGAAATAGAAAATAATACAAAAAATTGGAAAGACATTCCATGAACAAGGATTGGAAGAATCACATTATTAAAATATCCATATCACCCAAAGCAATCTAGAGATTTAATGCAATTCCAATCAAAATACCAAGGACATTCTTCACAAAAATAGGGAAAAGAATCCTAAAACTTATATTGAACACTAGAAGAGCCAAAGTTATTTGAGTAAAAAGAACAAAAGTGGAAGAATCACATTGCCTGACTTCAAATTTTACTGTAAGCCTATAGAAATCAAAATAGCATGGTACTGGCATAAAATAAGACATATAAACCAATGGCGCAGAATAGATAAGCAAGAAATATATCAATACATCTACAGCGAACCAGTTTTGACAAAGAAGACAAGAATATAATTGGGAAAAGAATAGGCTCTTTAAAAAATGATTCTGGGAAACTATAATAGGTACTATTATAGTACCATATGCAGAAGAATGAAAGTAGACCCATATTTCTCACCATATACAAAAATTAAATCAAAATGAATTAAAGACTTAAATCTAAAACCTTAAACTATAAAACTACTATTGGAAAATATTGGGGAAACTCTCTAGGACATTGGACTGAGCAAAGATTTCCTGAATAATACCCAAAAGCACAGGCAACCGAAACAAAAATGGACAAATGGAAGCATATCAAATTGGAAAGCTCCTGCATAGCAAAGGAAACAATCAACGAAGTGTGGAGACAATCCACAGAATGAGAGAAAAATATTTGTAAACTACCCATTTGCCAAGGGATTAATAACCAG
This sequence comes from Homo sapiens, assembly GCF_000001405.40. Lineage (NCBI taxonomy): Eukaryota > Metazoa > Chordata > Mammalia > Primates > Hominidae > Homo > Homo sapiens. Next base: position 135,933 of record NT_187536.1, read on the forward strand.
AATATATAAGGAGCTCAAACAACTCCATAGGAAAAAGAAATCTAAAAATCCAACTGAAAAAATGGACAAAAGGTCTGAAGAGACATTTCTCAAAAGAAGACTTACAAAAGACAGGCATATGAAAAGGTTCCCAGCATCACTGATCATCAGAGAAATGAAAATCAAAACTACAATGAGATATCATCCCACCACAGTTAAAATGGCTTTTGTGAAAAAAGGGAGGCAGTAACAAATGCTGGCGAGAATGTGGAGAAAAGGAAACTTTGTACACTGTTGTTGGGAATGTAAATTAGCACAACCACTATTGAGAACAGTATAGAGATTTCTCAACAATCTAAAATTAGAGCTACCGTGTGATCCAGCAATCTTACTGCTAAATGTACACCCAAAAGAAAGGAAATCAGTATATCAGAGATATCTGCACTCCCATGTTTATTGCAGCACTATTCACAGTAGCCACAATTCGGATAAAAACTAAGTGTCCATAAGCAGACAAATGGACAAAGAAAACATATTACATATACACACTGGAATTCTATTCAGCCATAAAAAAGAATGGGATCTTGTTATCTGCAACAATATGAATGGAACTGGAGGTCATTATGTTAAGTGAAATAAGCAAGGTGCAGAAAGACAAACTTCACATGTTCTTACTTACTTGTGCAAGCTAAAAATTAAAAGTATTAAACTCACAGAGATAGAGGGAAGAACAGTGTTAACAGAGGCTTGGAAAATTAGTGTGAAGAGAAAGTAGGGATTGTTAATAGGTACAAAAATATAGTTAGACTGAATAAATATGATCTAGTGTTTGTTAGCACATAGGGTGACTACAATCGACAATAATTTATTGTACAGTTTAAGGTAAGTAAAAGTATAATTGGATTGTTTGTAACACACAGAAAGGATAAATGCTTGATGTGATGGATACCTCTTTAACCTTATGTGATTATTATGCATTGCATGCTTGTATTAAAATATCTCATGTGTCCTGTAAATATATACACCGACTATGTGTCCACAAAAATAAAGAATAGAAAATTTAAAAAGAAGAAAAGAAAAAAGCAACTTTATAAAAGATTCATTCAGTATTCTGTTTTGAAAATAAAGTTTTATTTTAGCATATTTTTAGATTTACAGTATAGTTGTGTAGATAATGTTGGAGAGTTGTCAGATACCCTACACCCAGTGTTCCATATTGCTACTGTCTTTCATGGTGCATTTGTCACAATTAATAGATCATTAATGATACATTATTTTAATTAAAATATACACTTTTTTATATTTCTTTCGTTTTTGCTTAATGTCTATATTCTGCTCCAGGATCTCATCTAGATTACATTTACTTACCATGCATTCTTAGGTTCCTTTCACTATAACAGGTTTTTAGATTCTTATTATTTTTGATGACTGTGACAGTTTTGAGAAACACTAGTCAGATATTTTATAGAATGTCCTTTAATTTGAGGTTGTCTGATTTTTTTTTTCTCACGGTTAGTTATGGGTTCTAGAGAGGAAAAGCACAGAGGTAAAGGAAGATTTTATCTCATCATATCAAGGATCCAGCCTGTCAATATGCCACTGTTATTGTTGGTGTTAATCTTGAGCATGTGACTGAGGTAGGGTCTTTCAGATTTTTCCACGGTGAAGTTACTCTTTTTTCCCACTTTTCATATTTCTTTTTTTTGGAAGAAAGTCACTATGCTCAGTCCTTTCTTAAGGCACTATGAATTATCTCCACCTCCTTAAGAAAATCACCCCAATTTTAGATTTCTCAGAACTGTGATAAATATGTTTCTCTTGGTTAAGCCACCAAGCCTGCAGTATTTTGTTATGGCAGCACAGACTAGTTCACTTATATCTATGTGTGCTTATATCTATAAATACAGGTAAATAGTATATAAATATAGGTATGTACCTGTATCTATATTTGTATATTAATCCATCTAATATTGTGAATGATATTGTTATAAAGAATACATGATGGTATGTGTTTGTTAAAACTTATAGAACTTTACAGCACAGAACCTTACAATGCATAATGTAAACAAATTAAATAAGTATGATTAGTAAGTTGGAGGATTGCAGAATGGAATATAGTCTGTGAAAAAAACAACTGCCTTCCAAACGTGAGTTCATAAAGATATCTGCAAGTCTAATTCAGTACCACTTTGATTATTCTAGCCCTCTCTCCTTTCTTATGTGTAACTTTCCACTCCAGCAGTGAGAAACTTGGCTCCTACTGTCGACCTTCCATTTACCAAATTGTTCAATTCCACATAGAATGGTTTCAGAATTATTAACTGCTAACCCTATGAGAAATAAATTTATATGCTACAGTGGATTACTTACATGCAGTTTTTCTTTATTTTATATGTTTGGAAGGCAGTTGTTGCTTTTTTTTTTTCACAGACTATATTCCATCCTGCAATCCTCCAATTTACTAATCGTACTTATTTAATTTGTTTACATTATGCATTGTAAAGTTCTGTGCTGTAAAGTTCTATAAGTTTTAACAAAACACATACCACATGTATTCTTTATAACAATATCATTCACAACTGTTTCATGGCCCTAAAAATCCCGTGTTACATTAGATACAGCAATATAAGAGCCTTTTGCCACCCTAAAAATATTACCTGTATTTCACCTATTTAGCCCTCTTCCCTCCACAAACCTCTGATAGTCTTACTTGTTTGCTGTTTGTATAGTTTTGCCTTTTCAAGAATGTGTTTTAGAAATGGAATCATAGAGTATTAAAATCTTTTTTATACTTCTTTCCACTTTATAAATTATCCTCTTAAGTCTATGATAATTCCTTTTTATACTCTCCTTACACTCTTTGCATCTGTCCCATTTTTATATCGATTCTACCAAAATTTCCTCTTTAATATTTTTATTTTTCTCTTGGTAAATATTTTTCTATCATCACTGTTAAGATACTTTCTAAAGTAATACTTTGAGCTCAAATTCACACTCACTTTTTTTTCCTGGAATTTTTAACCTCTTGTTCAGCAACTCAGCTTCTATGTCTTTAAATTTAACATACCTAAATTGGAACTAAATATATTCTTGCCAAATTCTTTGCCCAAAAACTATAGCAGTGCTTCCTCTGGCTTTCTTACTGATTAGTTTCTTTCTCTCAAAGTATTAAATGTATAAATAATACTACCTAACTTGAGTCAGCAGGAGAATAAACATAATTAAGTGGTTTACTAACCTTCTAAAATGGCATTAAAATATTTCTGCGGCCGGGGGTGGTGGCTCACGCCTGTAATCCCAGCAGTTTGGGAGGCCGAGGCGGATCACGAGGTCAGGAGATCCAGACCATCCTGGCTAACACCGTGAAACCCCGTCTCTACTAAAAATACAAAAAATTAGCCGGGCGTGGTGACGGGCGCCTGTAGTCCCAGCTACTTGGGCGCCTGAGGCAGGAGAATGGCGGGAACCAGGGAGGCGGAGCTTGCAGTGAGCCGAGATCGCGCCACTGCACTCCAGCCTGGACGACAGAGCAAGACTCCGTCTCAAAAAAAAAAAATATTTCTGCAACTGCATTTGTATGTTTTTTATTATGTCCTTAAAATGGTTAGAAATACTATTTTAGAGATATCTCCGAAGAGTTTTCCTCTACCTCATAACGGAAATGTAGAAGTAAGTATTACTCGAAGTTATGCACATTGAGACAATTACTATGCTTGTTGTGAGGAAGGAGGAAAGGATATGAGAACAGCATTAACAAGTACCTATAATGTAGGCCCATCTCTATATTAACACTGTTCTGAAATAATCCGTGCATTAGAGATGTTTTCTTGATACTGCTCAGCAAGAAAGATTGCTTTAGTGTCATGACATTCTGATTGGATGGCAGGGACTCTTACAGAATCCTGAAAAAAAAAACACATATAATTGAATAAACTATGTGATGTCTCAATTTAAATTATTTCTCAGCTGTAGAAAATGTAGCCCCCACTGTAGCAAGTGGGCACTAATGTCAGCAATGTATTAGGTTTTGGTTTAAACCAATTGATTTCATGCCTTTCTATATATTCTGCATAATACTCAAACACTTTGGTGACTCACTAGTGTTTCTCAACAGTTCCATTAGCTCTGAAATAACTACATCAATTTTCTTCCCATTTTTCTTTCCACAATTATTCTTCTCTAAACATGGATACTCTATGTATTTTCTACATTATTATACTACCTTCCTAATTGCTTAATGAATTGCATGGAATAAAATATCCTGATATTCACTTAATAAACATTCTAAAATGGGTAAATATTGTTGATCTCACTAATGTTTTTCATTATATATTTAACATGAAAATAAAATACAACCATTTTAAAATAAATATTATGCCCTCAAAAATGTCTTAAATGGAAATAACAAAAATAGTTTAGGTTATAAGTACTTACACAGCAATTTTGTTTTTTTACAAAGGTAGCTCAAGTGCCTTTTTCTGCTTTCAACATTTGTGTTAGAAAAAAATGAAAGGCAAGAGTTGTAACAATTGTAAATATTTCAGGATAGTTCAACTTTTTTGTTAACACTAATGTTTGTGTGTGTGTACACATATGTATGTATATATTAACACACATAATTACATATATGTAATATATGTGTGTATATATACACATGTGTGTAATGTAAAGCATTACATGCATATATATGCACAGAAATACATACATATATATATAATTTTTTAAGTTTATAGAATCCCTATAAGAATCCTTGTCATCCAATCAGATGTCATGACACTAAACCATTATAAGAAATAATCCGTAGATATGCAGATCATCAAAATATTAGAAGTGTGCTTTCTTTCTGATTATTTCTTGGTAAATTCAATTTCAGTGTACTTTGTCCCAATATGAATTATTTTTTCAGTGGGACTCTTTTTATAAATGATTTCACAGTCCTTGAACATTAGGCCTCACAGGATTTACTGCTTGATAAACAATTCTAAATCTTAAAACTTGCTGGAACAGAGTAGCTGAGTATAATGCTAAGAAAGAAAAACTAGTGTTTTAGAAAAGAAATGTAATACTGGATCTCTGATACAGGTAGATTGAATAATGCACATTTCAAATAAACTTGAACTTAATGTGCCAAACTTTTTAAGAGCTGACATGTATAATTGTTTCATTTTGAGAATAAAGATAAATTAATTGTGATAACTTATAATAATATGGAATATATATATACAAAAAAATCCCAAATACCAGTAGATATTTAAACATTCAAATAATCTTATTCTTAAGCCAAGTCACTATAAATGAATTATAATGCAAGAATGTGTATTAAATTGTTTTTACTCTTACCTTTATTTAAATCGATTAAGTTACTTTATATTTTTAATCTAGCTTTATAAAAGAAATTATTAGTAATACAATTGTTTTTATTCTTCTGAAATGTTAATGTTTAGTGAAATAACCATGTGATTAATTATTTTATAGCAGCACTTCACTTTTAATAGCAGATGTGTTCCAGAAAACATGTGTGCATATATAATTTTTAAAAATAGGACTACATTTTTAACATACATGGCATATTTCCTAGTCAAAAAATTATGGTATGACCAGTATTCTTCTAAAGCACAGAATGATTAAGAATCATGAACAATCTCTTAAACTTTAACCTTGCATGCATCCTCAAGTAACAGACCTTGAACTACTGGGTGAATTTCAAAGCATCACGTGTTCCTGCTGTCAATCCTCATTCTTCTAACACAGGATGCTAATTGAGGCAGCCCACATCAAGTCACTTCAGATTTTCTAAAACCATTTTTTGGCACAGTCATGGGAAAAGATTTTAGATGACATGTAACTACTTTCAGATATTTCTAAATTATTCATTTCAACATGTGTTTTGTGCACCTAATAGACGAAGGCCTAGCCTCAAGGGAAACAGCAGAAGTTGTAACATTTTCTGGTCTCCTGAGGTCAAAGTGTAAATTGTTTTCCCAAAGGTGGAAGTAAAGAGTTTCATTGGGTTCCCTGACCAAATTGTGGTTATTCAATGAATATTTTGAAAATGGGAATTTTATTATATGAAAGTTTTCTCAGAAGGATAAAAATATTTTTCATTTTAGTAATTAAAATAGCATTTTATTAACATAAGGCAAGACAAATAGACTAAGGGGAATAATAAATAATTGAGAAACACAAAAATCTATACAAGAAACTTGATATACAACAGTTATAAATCAGTAGGGCAGGGTTTCTGCGACAAGTAGCCATTTGAGGAAAAGGATAAAAGTATTTATCTATTTATTACATACAAAAAATAAATTTCAGGTGGATTAACATCCATATATGACAACCAAAACCTTACAATGTTTAGAAAAAGTATAGTAGAATATGTTCATATCACTAAAATTACTGGCCATTAGGACATAGATGATTAAATTTAATGATATAAAAATGTAAAACTTGCATCTGACAAAGATGCTATTTATAAACTTAAAATACAGGCCAAAATTGGGAAAGATTTTTGAAATACATGTAACTAACAGAGGACTATTATCCAGAATATATAAAGAGTCCTTGCAAAGGAAAAGAAAAATATTTATAGAAGCAATACCTAAAAAGCAACAAACGCATGAAAAAACGTTCAATCTCATTTGAATTCAAGAAAATAAAATTAAAAGGCAATGAGATATTATTTCATTACCATCAAACTGACAAAAATTTGAAAGGATAATTTTAAATGATAGCCAGGTGTTGGAGGAAATAATATTTCAAACACTGCCAGCAAAGATGTAACTTGGTATAAATGATTTGAAAACAAGCTATACTATGTTTATTTAAACTGAATATAACCTATAACCTAGAAACCTGCAATTTCAGGTATATACCCCTAGATAAATATTTGTAGACATGCCCACAGAAACATATTCAAGGAATGTTTTTCCCAGTATTTTTTTGTAGTGCTGAATATTTGGAAACAACTTACATTTTATATAGAAATATGTTTGCCATTTTTGCACCAGATTTTTTTAAGAAACAAAAAGTTACAAAATAAGTTGAAAAAATATTTTTTAAAGAACCCCCAGAAAGTTTAACAAACATCGTCCTTTCAGAATATGAGTTAGTAAAAACTTTGAGAATAGCCTCAGAGAGAGGCCAAACCAACAGCTATATAGGAACATTTAGGCAGTACATGGGTGCTGATAGGTACAACATGGAATTTTATTCCTAGAGGACTGTTTCTTTTGCTACTTTGTTAGTAAAAGACAGTCTTTTACCTATATTTCATATGTTTCAGGAGACTGACTCCGAAGAGAAGACTCTGACTTCTCTGTGATAAAATTTAAGTTTAAAAGAGATGATATGATAGATTTTTGAGGAGGGATTTATTATGGTTAGAGAGAAATCACACAGCCTTGTCCATCAGATAGTAAGGTTACAAATGCAGAGATTAAGGCTGAAGCACATAGTGTATGTGGGTTTGTTACAGTAGGTTTGAAGTATTCTATAGAATATTTCAAAACCATGTAACAGAACTTTATGGTTTTATAATAGAACTTTATAATTGAATAATACTTAATCTGGAAAAAATATATAATTTATTGGTTCATATATATTTTTAAATAGTATCTGCAAGAAACAGTTGCCTGTTTTACAATTAAGACACAGCAAAGTTTATTTCAGGTAAGAAGTGACTGTAGTTGGCAAAGAGTAATGGGTCTACTTTCTTCCTATCTACTGATGTGCTGTCTCTTTACAGAATTCCTCCTGGTCAGTGTTGGGGCTCTTGCACTGATTCTCTATTTGTCTTTTTCTTCCCACTCTCCCTACTTTTATTTTTGCTTTTTAACCTTTGTAGGTTTGTCCTACTTCTGGAAGATTTTTTTTCTACTTTTATGTTAGATTTTGATGGAGCTGAAATATTTTTAATTTTTAAGTCTTCCCCTTTCTTTTCCATTCCCATTTATTGTGGTCTATTCTTATTTTTTGAACACACTATCTCTTGTTTTCTCTTTGAGAATAAAAATTGTAGACTTTTAAAATATTCTTTTATCTCAATATTGCCCCTTTCTTTCACATTCTTTTTTCATTCTATTGGTTTCTTTTTGCTTTCATTTTTAACTTAATTCCCATTCTTGTTAAATAATGAATTTCACTCTAGCATGATCAAGTGACAAGTTGCTTTTTACTAGCCCTCCTCCATAACTAGTAATTCACCCAGGAATTACTCTATTCCTATCCTTATCTTTAGAAAGCCAACTTTTGGTAAAGTACTTGGGGAGTAAAATCCTTTGCTGCTATTGGTGGGAAATCTGGGGAAAGTAAAGGACTTTAAGTTAAAAGTTTCTCACTTTTTGTTTACTTTAAGTCTAGTGATTCTGCTTACATTTTCCAAAAAATAAATGTCCTACACTGAGAAAGGGAGAAGAGAATTTGCAGGTATTGTGGAGCTAGATTGAGAACCTGGGGTTTTAATACCTTCTGGAGTAAATTTGGTTTGAGACCTTCTGTTTTATCTACATGTGTACCCACAATTTTCTGTGTCTCCTCTTGCCTTCAACTTGTGAATCTTTCCAAGATTTTGACAAGCAAATCAATTTACCTATTTTTGGTATCTCCATTTGTATGCATTTTATTTTCAGCCTCTTAGACTTGCTTAAAGCAGTTATCACTTTAGAAATTGCTTTTCCTCTTCTAAAAGTTTACCAATTTATTTTGCTGTTGCTGTCTACCCTGTTTCCTTAACTCTGGAGGTTTTCTTTATTCATTTTTTTTTATTTTGTTATTGACACTTCAGTGGGGTTTTGGCAGGGGAAGGAAATAAGTGTACGGTAACAATCCACTGGGTTTTTAAATTTCTCTTCATTTCATTCATTCTTTTCTGCATTATCACACTTTGCTATTTATTATTTCTCTTTTTTGTTGGAGTCAGAGAAATATATATTTTTCATTAAAATTAATGTATGTATTTATATAGTCAATTTTTATTTTTAGGTTCTACTATTTTTATTTAATTTTTAAATTAAAAATAATATTGGATATATTTATGAGGTACAACATGATATTTTGATATAGGTATACACTATGGAATGGCTAAATCACGCTAATAAACATATTCATTACTTCACATAATTTATTGTGTGAACACTTAAAATCTACTCTCTTAGTGGTTTTCAAGAACAATGCCTTGTTATTAACTATAGTCACTGTATTATACAACAGTGCTCTTTAACTTATTTTTTTAGCTTAAAATTGTGTGTTATCTAAGCAACATCTCTCCAGTCTACTCTTTTAGTCCCTGTTAACTACCATTCTACTCTTTGTTATTGAGTTTGCCTTTTTCAGATTCCACATATAAGTGAAATCATGAGGTATTTCTATTTTTGTGTCTGGCTTATTTCACTTAACATAAAGTCCTCCAGTACTTCCTTCTTTTTTAAGACTGAATAGTATTCTACTGTGTATATATACCACATTTTTTAGATCCATTCATCCATTAATGCATGCTTTGGTTGATTTCATATGTTGGCTATTGTGAATAATGAATGCTACAGTAAACATGAGCATGCAGATATCTCTGACATACTGATTTCTCTCAGATGTATACCAAGTGGAATTGCTAGATCTATAATTTTTGAGGAACCCTGCACTGTTTTCTGATAAGAAAATGGAAACTTGTACACTGTCCAGTGAATGTAAATTAGCCAATTTTAAAAAATGAACCATCTGCCTTGTACCCTGTGTTCCCCTTCCCTTTCCTTCAAAGGAACAATTTTAACTAATTATTTGTATTTAATTCCAGACCACTTAATGATATGCTTGTATTCCTATTTGATAACATATATGTACATAATGCATGCATAGTTCTGTATAATTTATATATGTGTATATAATGTATGTATGTACATGTGTTTATATATATTATACATGTATATAGGTGTGTGTATTTGTCTGTGTCTATGTGTGTGTGATTTTAAGCATTATCCATTGACTTTTCAATAGTAATAATGAGGATGTTGCTTTCCTTCTCCTATTCTTACTACACATTCTCATCTTTCTCTTTTGCTTTTTACCCTTAAAGAAATACATTAAAATGTGCATTAGATAGATGGAGGTACTCAGTGTTTACACTATTTTGATATTGTAAGTTCTAGTCACAACTGTGAAGCCCAATTAATTTTGATTTTTATATTATTTCATGCACAAATTTGTGTTATTTCTAGAGTTAAAAATAGGCTGCTTTTGATCTTCAATTTTGCTGTCATTAATTGCAAAATAATCCCATGGCAACGCTTTAAATCTGTACATTTCTTTGGGGCATCTCTCAATTTAATTCTAATAGATAATTTCCTCTTGTAGTCTTCTATATTTCACTATTCTGAATTGGTTGTTCCCTATACCTGTTACCTAACCGCCACATTTTGTATATCCTTTCCCCATGGCCCAAGGAATCCCCTTTGCTGTCTCTTATTTTAGTTTCTTTGTTTTGTGTATTCTGTCTTTCTCTCCCTGGTTTACTCATCATTTCAGTACAATGTCACATACTGAAAAAAGTGAATAGTAATTATTTATGAAGACTTTTAACTAGTGCTCTTATTCAAACTTTACCCTAAATATATAGTTGGAATGGGCATACATTGTATGCATCAGTAAGGAAATCTCCTTAATTTAAGCTTTTGAAGGCATCGCTCCATTTTCTTCTTCCTGTCAGTGCTGCTGTTGAATCATCTGAAGACTTTAGGATTTCTGATTCTTTTTTGTTTTTCTCACTCTGAAAACTTGTTGGATCTTCTGTTTTTCCCCAGTGTTCTCAGCATTCATATGGACACTCAATATAAGGTTCTGTACTCTACCCTCACCCTCTGTTGTGTCTCCTGTGTCCCAGTCATTAGACGTTGTGATCTTGAGAAAAAACATTGTCTCTTTTTTTTTTTTGAGATGGGTTCTCACTCTGTCACCCAGGTTTCTTGAGTGCAAACTCTGCTCACTGCAACATCCCCCTCCCAGGCTCAAGCAGTCCTCCCACCTCAGCCTCCTGAGTAGGTGGGACCACAGCATGCACCACCATGCCCAGTTAATTTTTTGTGTATTTGGTAGAGAAGGGGTTTCACCCCGTTGCCCAGGTTGGTCTCGAACTCCTGAGCTCAAATGATCCACCTGCCTCAGCCTCCCAAATTGCTGGGATTTCAGGTGTGAGCCACCACGCCTGGCCAAAATTTTAATTCTTTTCTGGGTGGAGCAGTTGAGTGACTGATTTGAAAGTAGGAACATATTTGGAAGTCTGTCTTTCAAAAAAATGGACAAGAAAATAATCTTGTCATTTAAGTTTCCTATTTACCTCCCCTTCCAGAGTATCTGTTGCAGCCATTTCCTGAACACGGTTGGAATTGCATAGTACAAATGGAGTTAGGCTTGAGCTTCCTCATTGTCAGCTTAGGCTTTAGGCCTCACAAACCTTCTCCTCCCACAAGAGATCCCTTAAGTGTTTTGCTGCTCACATATGTTTTTTTAATTTACATAATTTTATTGCTACATTTTTGTTCTGCTCATCTTTATGGTTGTATGTTTAATGTCCAACCAAACCAATCAAACAAAAACAAACAAAACATAATTTAAAAAATACAAAATAAATAATAATAATAAGCAATAACACAATCAGAAGGGAGACAAATATGTGTGTGCTGTACTCTGCCTTTTCACATGCAATTTTTATCTTTGAAATTTAGCAGTTTTTACAGAATATGTCTCAATAATTAATCGCCATTTTGTTAATTTTTCCTGGTAAAAGTTAATCCTGAGATTCAGGCTGTTGAGTTCAAGTAAATTTCTCCTTTTATATCATTAGAGATTACCTCTGTTTCATCAGTATTGTCCTATTTTTCTCAGGGTGATGGAGATGTAGCTTAGATATTGAGTCTTCATTAGTATGTTAAATTTTTTGAGAGGAAAAATATGTATCATTATTTAGTTATTGCCAGTGTGTCCTAATCAATTGTTCTTTGCAGAATTCACTATAAGATGTTGAAATGTTTAATAATCCTCAGAGTGAGGTAACTATGCTGAAAATTTCTTTAATCCTAGTGTAAAACATTGGGCTATGGCAATAACTTCATGAAGCATGATACTTGTGATAGCGGCAGGAGGCAGAAAAATTCCTCAGCAGAGAGGGGCGGGTCCCTGGTGAAACCCACCTTCAGACTGGAGAGAGCTGAAAGTCTGAAATCTGGGCTGCCAGTTCCTGGTGGAGTACACTGCCTGGAGTGAGAACTTCTTTGATGCAGTTTGGCCAATCTAATGATACTTTTTCCAGATCCGTCCATGGACCAATAAGCAAGCACTTGCTCCCACCCTGGACCAGTCAGCACACAGTTCTTCCATTCTAAGCCTATAAAAACCCCAGACTCAGCTGGACTCAGAGACACTTTTGAACTACCTGCCTGCAGATAAGAGCTACCCACTTCAGGTCTACTCTCTGCTGAGAGCTGTTGTGTGACTCTATAAAGCTTTTCTCTGCTTTGGTCACCCTCCAGTTGTCTGCATTATTGCATTGTTCTTGGACTCCAGACAGGAACTCAGGACCTGCTGAATTGCAGGCACAAAAAGGGCTGTAACATGTTCCTGGCCAGCTCACTGAGCTGCAAGCAGTGACACGCTCTTGTTCATCAGACCGTGGGAGTAAACAGCACAACCCTTCTGGGACCTCAGATTTCAGTATTCCCCAAGCCAGAGCCGTAACTCTGTAGCCTTCTCACCCTCTGCTGGCATTGGGCAGCTGCCTCTTGGGATGGGAAGCAGTGGCAGGGCTGGGCCTGCCCAGGAGCTGCAGACCAGAGTGGCTGACCAAGCTGTAATACAAATGGGCTGAAACAGGCACCGTCCCATGTTTGCTGTGCCATGGGCAGCTGGACTGAGAGAGTGGTAACTCATCCTCCACCCCTTGGGGCCCTGTGGTGGCTGGCATCTCTAAGTTTTCAGATGCCACCTTGTTCCCCTTGTTCAGATGCTGGCGCCTGCAGCAGAAGCTGTTGTGGTACGCCCAGTCCAGCTGCAGCCTTCCATGCAGCTGGCACCTGAGCCAGCACCTGGAGCTACCCGTTCTGCCACAGCAGCCAGCGCACCTGGCTGTGAGCAGTGGCTGGACCCTGTGCTCACTTGCTTACACATCCCTCACTACTCCGCACCTGGCTCACCCTCAGTGGACGTGGGATCTAAGCCAATAGCGTGAAGCAAGCACAGCCTGTCGGATGAGTGTTTGGAAACAAGCCCAGTGGGTGCAAGTGAAATTCAGCCAGAGGTGCTGCTGGCCACAGAGTTTGCCGCTGGTGAAGCAACAGCCAAAGCATCCAGTGACACTTGCATACATTTTGGATAAAGTATTCAAAACTATGTAGGAACTCCAGTTTAGGGGAGTAATTATTTAATAATTTAATAAGTGATATTTGGCTGAGTATTTTTAAGGATAGAAGAGTAAGTTACCATCATTTTGGCCTAAGAACAAATGAGACTTCTATTTGTTAAAATATGGATCAAGGGATCTTAGGAGGATTATTTGCTTGTTTATAAGCTGATTGTTCACATATCTTTTCTTACCTGCCTTCAATGTCTCGTCAGTGTTTGATTTGAATTTTGCTACATTAAACTAGCCTAGATAACATTTTCCTGTTTATATTAAAGTTCTCCTGGTATAGACAAATTTGATTGATTGATAAATATAGATAAATCTCATGTCTAGAGAGAGAGAGACAAGAGAGAAGGTTTACTTTAAGGGCCAAATAAACCACCTTTGACTCATGCAATTGAGGGGGCATGCAAGTTAGAATCAGGCCAGTAAACTAGAAATTCTGCCAAGAGTTAATATTGCAGTCTCCAGTCTGAACCCTGGAAACTTAGGCAGAATTTCTATTTTTGACTCAACAGAGAATTCCTTTCTTAACAGGGACCTAGATTTGTTTTTAAGGCTTTCCGTTGTTTGGATGAGGACCACCACATTGTGGAAGTAATCTGCTTTACTCAACATCTACCAATTTAAATGTTAATTACTTCAAAAAATACTTTCCCCACAACATCTAGCTGGGTATTTTACAAAACAATTTGGCACCACAGCCTAGGCAAGTTGACACCTAAAATTAACCATCACATTGTTTCAGTTGAGAAATCAATAAGTACTTTCAAACAGAAAAATGAAAATAAATGCACAGTCATGCATTGCTTAATGATGAGAAATGTGTTGTTAAGCAATTTTGTCATTAGGCAAATATAGATTTTACTTACACAAACCTAGATGGTATAGCCTATGACACACTTAGGCTATATCTTACAGCCTTTTGTTCCTAGGCTACCAAACTGTACAGTAAGTTACTCAACTGTATACTGTAGGCAACTGTAACACAATGGCAAGTATTGGTATATCTAAACATAGAGAAGGCATAGTGAAAATAGAGAATATGGCAGGCGTAGTGGTGTGTGCCTATAATCCCAGCCACTCTGGAGGTTGAGGTGGGAGTATTTCTTGAGCCCAGGAATTTGAAACAATCCTGGGAAGCAGCAAGACACTATCTCAAATAAAAAATAAAATAATTTAAAAATACAGTATAAAATAAAAAAAAATGGTACACCTTTATAAAGACTTACCAAGAATGGAGCTTGCAGGCCTGGAAGTTCCACTGGGTGAGTCACTGGGTGAGTGGTGAGTGAATGTGAAGGCCTGAGACATTTCTCTACACTACTCTAGACTTTATAAACATTGTATAATTAGGCTACATTAAATTCTTTTTAGAAATTTTCTTTCTTGAATAAATTAATCTGAGCTTACTGTAACTTTTTTATTTTATAAACTTTTTAATTCCTTTCAATTCTTTAACTCTTGTGTAACCACACTTAGCTTAAAACACAAACACGTTGTACAGCTGTATAAACATATTTTCTTTCTTTATATCCCTATTCCATAAGCTTTTCCTGTTTTTAACATTTTTAACATTTTCAACTTTTTGTTAAAAACTAAGACACAAACACACACATTAGCCTAGGCCCATGCAGTACCACAATTATCAATATCGCTGTCTTTCACATCCGTATCTTGTGTCACTGGAAGGTCTTCAGGGGGCGTAACACAAATGGAGCTGTTGCAAGTACCTCTTCTACAGTTACTTTTTTTTTAAAATAAGTAGAAGGAATACACTCTAATATAATGATAAAAAGTACAGTATAAAAATATATAAACCAGTAACATGACCATTTATTATCGTTATCCAGTAATGTACTGAAGTTAACTATATACTTTCTTTTCTAAACTGGCAGTGCAGTAGGTTTGTTTACACCAGCAACGCCACAAACTCGAGTCATGCCTTACACTAAAATGTTACAATGTCTACAGTGTAACTAGGCCATAGGAATTTTTCAGCACAATTATTATCTTATGGGACCACTGCCATGTATGTGCTCAGTAGTGCACCAAAATGTCATTATGCTCTAGTCTTTCATGCACATATTTTTCTGTAGAAAGTAGTTGAAGAGATTAAGCATATCAAAAATTGATCCCTTAAATTAATATTCAGTTGTGAAAAGCTAGTCCAACATATTTTAATACTGCCTTAGAATTAATTAAAAAAAATCTATCAGAATGCCAAATTGTTTTCAAACATTTTACCAGATAAGTTAAATTTACATTATTAATTAAGTTCTCAGATATGATTTGTTTAGATGGGGACTAATATTTATTCCTGTAACTTTTGTTTTGTTATCAAAGGTTCTGGAATAATGTGTTTGATTCTATTTTTCTCACATTCAAAGCCCCATATTATATGGAGAACGAGTCTCTCTATTTTTTCTTTTTTTTCTTTTTAACTGATAGGCCTAGGGAAAAGCCTTTTTAAGTTACCCAGTTTTTTAAAATGGCTTTGATCCTTGCTTATCTTCTCTTTGCTTAGTTGTTTTATAATATGTCATCATGT
The DNA here is from genome assembly GCF_000001405.40 of Homo sapiens. Taxonomy (NCBI): domain Eukaryota; kingdom Metazoa; phylum Chordata; class Mammalia; order Primates; family Hominidae; genus Homo; species Homo sapiens. Next base: position 151,850 of record NT_187536.1, read on the forward strand.
GTGAACTTTGTCCAATATTTAATTTTGTATCATCGGCAGCTACTCATAAATTATAAACCCAATTATCATTGCTGTCAGTGGTGGCTGATTTACCTTACGATAACAAAAACAATAATAAAATAAAATAAAAAATTTAACATACAATTTGGAGAATATTTATAGAATACTAACTGAAATCAACTTTGCAATTACTGTTTGCCTTTATTCTCTTAGACTGACTTATATATTTATGACTAATTTTCACCAAATTTTATTTCTTAGAAAATGTTTTAATCCTACTAAAAATGTAATCCAGTATACTTTAAGAAAATCTATGCCAAATGTTCTGTGAGATTAGCCAATCTTGTCATAGATACTTGTCAATGTTTTGTACACCAGAGTGAAATTTACTTCCTGACCCTAGCTATTCCTTAGGTAATACACAAAAACAACTGAATTGACAATCATAGTCACCTAAGATAATGGAAAAACAGTTGTTTGTCAAGTACTTTTTTAATGAATCTTGTATGACTAAGTAGCTTTATATTTGAAAGTTTTGCAAGTAAATTATTTTTATGTTGATGTATTTCTTTCTATTTGTATTTTGTAAATGCACAGTAGGTTCCAATTTATGTTGTCCTGGGTATTTTTTTTTCTAGTTTTGCGCAGAAACAAATAGAAATATAAAATTTAATTAATTATATGTATTTAAAAATAAAATATAATATTTTATTTCATTTTGTTTGCAACCCTCATCCAATAAAATGTAAATCATGATTTTAAACCTTTGGGCTGTAATAAACTTGTTGCCTTAATAGCCCTAGTCCTTTGCCTCTCCTGAATGTATACACTTTAAAATGGGACTTTGCAGTTCCTGTTATGAAGCACATAACATAATTACACACATCTTAATTCTGAGTTCAGCTATGTGACTTGCTTTTGCCTTTGATATCCTAGCATTTGTAGTATAAGAAAAAGCTAAAAAAGGACTGGTGCACTTTTGCCTTCAATGTGGAAACACAGCCAGGCTGGCCCACCAGAGAGAGGTGAGAGAAAAATGAAGTAGAGACAAGTTGTTCCAGGCAATAATCAGCTCACTTCTAGAGACATAATACCCCAGACAGCAGTCAGGTAATACCCAGACATGACGGAGAATCCATGTGAAACTCAGAAATTGCCCAGCTGAATTTTTCAGTCACAGACTCAAGACAAAACAAATTCTTATTGTTTTAAGCCATTGTGTTTTGGAATGGTTTGTTATGCTGCATTAATATGGCAGAGTGAATGATGGAGAAGCAAAGAATTGTATATATTTTTTTATTTCTCAGTTAATAACAATTGCTCTGTGTATTAGTCTGTTTTCATACTGCTATAAAGAACTGCCCAAGACTGGGTAATTTATAAAGGAAAGACATTTAACTTACAGTCCTCCAGGGCTCAGGAAACTTACAATCATGGCGAAAGGCAAAGGGAAAGCAAGGCATCTTATCACAAGATGGCAGGAAGAAGAAGTGCTGAACAGAGGGAGCAGAGTCCCTTATAAAACCATCAGATTTCATGAGAACTAACTCACTATCATGAGAACAACATGGAGAAGCTACAACTATGATTCAATTACCTCCTGCTGGTCTCTTCCTTGACACTTGGGGATTCTGGAGATTACAATTCAAGATGAGTTTTGGGGGGTAGTCAAAGGCTAACCATATGACTCTGTGTAACTTCTCTCACTTTTTTAAAGTATGTATATATTTGAGGATATATATGTTTATTTATTTTAAACAGTCCAATTCTTCTCACCCAAAGAAATGCAAATGTGTGTGTGTGTATATATATATATAATACATTATATATTATATATATATTATATATATATAACTCTTTGTTTTAATTACCACTATCTTTTCCAAATCTATTAGTTTCATTTTAAGTATATGTTGATTGTTGACTTTAAGTGTCACATAGAATCCCACAGTGCCAGTCATTTTCTATTTATCCATTGTTCTAGAAGTGGAAACTATGTGTTCTCCATATTTCTACAAACACAAAAGCAGCATAATGAAAATCTCCATGTATAGCCTTGTGGGAAAATGTATGTATCCAATTATCATTGCATAAATTTACTTTCTAAGAAGATCATTCCAGTTATATAATTTATCATTTTGTAATGTTTTTAATATGATGTTTTTTTCTCCCAGCTTTGTCAAGATTTAGGTAGTCTCTTAAACTAGAAAAGTGGTTTAATTTGTCTATTTGTTTAATGTAGAGACGTATGGCATGTATCACCTTCACCCTCTTTCACATAAATCCTAAATAATAACAAAACTATTTTAAATTATAATAAGGAAGATTTTGGTTGCCAGTCTTAGAAATTACTATCTTAAAACATACACCAAGATAATCATTTGGAGTTATCATATGTGGGGGTCTTCTCAAAAATTGAATTGCAATTATTTGTTTCAGAAAATTTGAATACATATGAGTATGAAAATAAAAGTTGGAGCAAATGGTCACTTGCTTGTTCGATCCAGCACTAGCATTCAGTGAAAATGAAACAACCTCAGAAGGGGAAATAACATCATGCCATATTTTTAAAAGAACAAATACATAAAACAGAAGTGGAAAATATTAAAATAGAAAAGACAAATCTGTGTAATCAAGCAAATAAAATCATCATAACTTTTCAGAAAACAGTCACAAAGAAAAATATATATTATACCTCTAATCTAGAGATGATTCAATATTTTGATATATAAGCTTTAAAATATATTCTTCTGCATAAGTCTTTTAGAAAAAATATTTAGATAAAATTTATAGTTAACAAAAAATGTTGAAAGATTATTCTCTTTGTTCAATGTTTCCCAACAAGGAAGCTATTGGTATTTTGGGTGGGACCATTCAATTCTTTGACTAGTCTTTCAGTCAATATACAGGATAATTTCCACCTTGGGTCCCCACAGCCAAATGCTTTAAAAAGGTAAGAACACCTTAGAATTCAGAATGTGTTCTATTTTGTCATTTTCCAGCTTACAAATAAACACCTCAGTGTGGCTCAGTAAATCTAATAGTGCATCAGTTCACAGTGTATAGCGATCACTAGCAATGGGGTTTGGCATCCTCTCACTGTGTAGGGCTCAGGAAGTTCTTGAGATGCCATCTTTGTTGTCTTTGTGCATTCAACTCTCATTGCGTGATTATAAATGGTATTGTCTGATGAATTGAGAAGCTTCATTAGATTAAAGAAAGTACAGAATGTAAACTTTTTTTGTGAAAGACTAAGTTCCCTAGAGTTACAGGAAAGATAAGCAGAAAGAAAATACAAAGTAAGGATTCATAAATCACATTCTAGACTTTAATTTTTTATTAATTTTCATGGTTTTCTGAATTCCTAAGTTGTCTCAACCATTATAGACTATTATTCTCTGCTCAATTTAGTGACATAGGGCTTACATAATGCTCTTTTCTATATCTTTATAAATGTATTACTATTTGAATGATTACTGTAAGCATGGATAAAATGCTATATTGCCCTCAATTTTAGATAGCAAAAAAATTGTACAGGGAAGACAGATACATCACAATTATCCTTAACTATTTAGTGGTTCACCTTCACAGTGATATGAAAAACAGTACACTTAAAGTAGTAATTCAACTGAGTACTTACCAAGAACTTATGTAATAAAACTGCTTTTAAAGAACTTAATGTCTTTAATGCTTTATCTAGATTTATGTGAAATAATTTAGAGAAAAATCTAATAATGAAACATTTAATTGAAAGCAGTAATATATTTTATTCCACATTCATCTATATATGCAAATACAAAGTTAAAAAAACTTTTTTAAGAAATATGAATCACTGGCCAGGCGCAGTGGCTCACGCCTGTAATCCCAGCACTTTGGGAGGCCGAGGCAGGCAGATCACGAGGTCAGGAGATCGAGACCACCCTGGCTAACGCGGTGAAACCCCGTCTGTACTAAAAATACAAAAAAATTAGCCAGGCATGGTGGCGGGCACCTGTAGTCCCAGCTACTCAGGAGGCTGAGGCAGGAGAATGGCGTGAACCCGGGAGGCGGAGCTTGCAATGAGCAGAGATCACGCCACTGCACTCCAGCCTGGGCGACAGAGCGAGACTCCATCTCAAAAAAGAAGAAAGAAAAAATATATATATATATACATATATATTAATCATTATCACACCTCTACCTCTTGCCTTTCCAAGCCTCCTTGTAGTTGGAGTATATTTCTCTGTCTCATAATAAGGCTTGGCCATATAACTTGGTTTGGCCATGATAATCAAAGAAGGCTTGACATATATGAAGAACTTTAAAATCTTTTGCATGATTTTCTTCAGCTTCTTGCTTATGCCCTCTACTATGAGAAAAAAAAATGACTCAGATAAGAGTTATGAAATCACCTTGGGCCCCAAAATGAGAAGATATGTGGAAAATAGCAAAACCATGGCAAGCAGAGACAAGCAGTGTTGTAGCTGACACATACATCCACGGGATAGAAATAAAAAAAAAACAAATGGTATTTATTTGTTCTTGTAAACCTCAGGGACTTAGGAGCTGTTTGTTACCAAAAAAAGTTGACAGAAATACTTGTTAATATATTGAAATGTATCAGATTCAGGGTTCATACCCACATTTGACAATTTTTTGTCAAAATTATTGATAACTGAGTTAAACCTGTAATTAAAAACTTTACTTGAAAACAGAGGTTTCGATGTTTTCAGGAGTTGTTTTACATAAATTCACTGAACACTCAGGCAAATAGGAATTGATATTAAATAAATTATTTTAGATGTTAAACACAAGGTTGATTTGTGGGTTTTGAAGTCCTTTAGAGAAACAATGTCATGGAAAGTTTTTAGAATTATTTTTTACTTTTTAATTCAAGTTTCACTTTTTAATTATAGACCCAATGTAGTGTAAATCTGACACCATCTTTCAAGCTTAATGATGACTACTTGGTTTTCATTTTCAAAATAAATTGATACTAAGTAGATATGTTTATTGAATATGGGCCATTCAAAGAGGTGATCAAGCTTGCAAAAGATTTATTATTTTAGATTATTTATATAATATCCTCATACCACAACTTTTCACAGTAGCAATTTATGCACTAGTACCATGTTGTGCTACAAAGCACTTTTCTTAAAAACAAATTTTAAATTCAATACAGCCCAATTTTACAATATTATCTGTAGACATTGTGCAAAAATTATATGTAGAAGAAAGGGTAATGCAAAAATAAAAACCATCTTGACTAGCTTACCCATTATCATTGCCCTTTATGAGATACTTTCTTCTTTGTGTCTACTTCTCTTCTAAAAACTATACCTGTAGATATATGATTATATATTAATCCCGAATGTTGAAACTATAATGTAAATAACAATCTAATATGTGCAAAATTTAGCACTTTTTGTATTTTGAATTCAGTAAAGTATTTACGTTATACATTACATCACTATAAATAAATTTTACTACAGTTCTTTATATACGAAGTAAACATACGTTATTCACAATTTGATGCTAACCTTTATATAACATCTTCTACATACAAAGCATTTGGCAAGAATTTGTGGAGCAGGGGATATATTGAAAGGTTAAAAGGGATAAAACACATTTAAAGGGATAATATGCATGAACAAATCCAAGATAATTTTGATCCATAAATATTAAATATTATATAATGCTTATCTCAATATTTCATCAAAACAAAATGCAATGGATTTTAAGATGTGCCATTATTTTTTGTACTTTTATATACTTCAGAAAAGAAAAAAATTGCTTGACATGAGCAAACTATATAGGAGAGTCCCCTTTGAGGGTAATCCACAAAAGGGTTATATATTAACCGTTGCTATGTATTAACCATTGTTTACATTTCCCTTTCCACAAAAGGGAAATGTAAACAAGACCTCAAACTACAAGAAAGGACAGCAAATAAACTAACAAGGCTCTACCTTGATACTTGGTGGAAGAGATAAAACTTTCCCAGATGATTTAAATCACTAGGCATTACCTTGCAAGGTTTGTATTCTGAATTCACACTGCTAGTGTGGTCCAAAAGCCTCAAGCAGAGAATTTAATGAAAGTTGTCTCAGGTTTATTTTGTCCCTAGGTGACTGGAAGAAGCAAATGTGAATCTTCTTGGTTCTCAGTGTATGCCAATGCAGGTTTGTAAAATGCCGTCCATAAGAAGATGCATTCCAACTTCAGAAATGTTAAATTGTATGACAACCATTCTTAAAATCTATTAAATATGTATTCTATAATGAAATCTGTACTTTATATAAACACCAAAAAATGCTATTGAATCATATTTTCATATTGGGGGCTGGAAAACCTTGAGAGAGAACAGTATTTAAATGTTAACAATGATAATGGCAATAATAATAATAACAAAAAAGTAGCAACAGCACAATAACTGTGTCCTTATGATGTGACATTTAATTTCCATGTATTTAGTTACTTGATGCTCACAACAGCCATTCTAAATAGTAATAATAATTTTCCCCTTTTCACAGATAAGTAAACAGAAAAGCCAGTACTTGAATCCAGCCAGTTTTTGTGAAAAGCCATATCTTAATTACTGTTTTAAGAATGAAGGATGTTTCAGCAAGCAGTAACCACATAGATGGCCATTCCAAACCAAGAGGACACAAAAGAGCATAGTTTGTTGTTGTTGTTGTTATTTTTAAGACATTTCTTAAAATGTCAAGGGGATTAGCATGGTTAGGACAAGAGAAATTAAGTACAATTAACTAGGTCATAATAGTGGCAAAATATATGGAGGCCAGAACATGTATTATTTTAATATTAAGATATATGAGATATATTATCTAATTATTGAGGATTCCTTAAAAGTCTTGGAGAAAAAATGTATCATACTGTGAATTGCAGTTTTAGACAACAACTGATATCAATGTGATACACTTCCTCAAAAAGATGACAGCAGCTAGATCATGTGCAAAGGAGTCCTTTATATAGAAGAAGTTAAAAGTCTTAACTAATATGTAACTCATCAACATATAGTGAAAACTTTTTACTATATTTTTGGAAGGAAGAGAGTGTTTCCAACTGAGTTAGTGAACAGGGAAGAAAAAAGTGTTTGACAAAAGAAATAATAAATCCAGTTGGAAACCTACTGAATTTGAAGTACTTGTGTAATTTTCATGTAATTTGGTTAGGGCATAGGTGGATTTCTGGGTTGAAGAGAGTCATGAGAATTGATGTCATTGACAGAAGAAAATATTTTAAAACATATGTATGTAATAGTTGATATAAAACTTATGTATGGACTTTTGCACATGTTTTAGAGTAGTCAATGGATTAAATAACCTTCAACTGATTTTCTTGCACTTTTTTCAAAGAGTGATATTTTTATTTATAGTGAAACAAATACATACAATGCCTTAAAAATGTTTTGCAATAAAATGTACACAACATAAAATGAACCATTTTAACCATTTTTAACTGTAAAATATAGTGACATTAAACATTCACAGTGTTGTGAAACCATCACCTCTGTCAATTTTTAAAACTTAAAGAACTTTTTTTAATACTTTTAAATTTCACATTCATTGTCTCCATCTTGGTAAAATCAGTCATAGTGTTACTGGAAAGGAGCCCCAATCCAAACCTCATGAGAGAGTTCTTGAACATCATGCAAGAAAGAATTTGGTGCAAGTCCATACATTGAAAACAACTTTATTAAGAAAGTAAAGGAATAAAAGAATGGCTACTCTGTAGGCAGAGCAGTGGGCTGGACTGCTTGACTAAGTACACCTATAGTTATTTCTTGATTACATGATAAACAAGGGGTGGATTATTTATGAATTTTCCAGGAAAGGGTGGTGAGGCAATTCCAAAACTGAGTGTTCCTCTCCTTTTTTAGACCATGTAGGGTAACTTCCTGACATTGCCATGGCATTTGTAAACTGTAATGGCACTGGTGGTAGTGTCTTTTAACATGCCAATGAGTTATAATTAGTGTATAATAAGCAGTGAGGACGACCAGAGATCACTTTTGTCATCATCTTGGTTTTGGTGAGTTTTGGCTGGCTTCTTTACTGCATCCTGTTTTATCAGCGAGATCTTTGTGATTTGTATCTGTGCTGACCTCCTATCTCGTCCTGTGACTAAGAATGCTTAACCTCTTGGGAATGCAGCCCAGTAGATCTCAGCCTCATTTTACTTAACCCCTATTCAAGATGGAGCCACTCTGGTTCAAATGCCTTTGACAATAGATCATTCTAAACCAGACAAAAGGAATGTTGGACAGAAAGACCAGGCTAATATAAAAGATTTTGTGTGTGGAATAGAGCACATTTTTGAAAACTTTGTGGTTAGTTATATATGAACAAAATTTAGGCAATTAATGGCTTAAGGAGAAAGTATAAGCAAGTGAGTACATAAATTAAAACTTTATTAATGACGTAGGATCTCAATAAAGGGTCTTTTCCCTAGGACTAAATGTAAATTATCAGCTTCATGGCTTCACTATTTGTAGTATACCTGTCACTCCATTTCCATAAAGCAAAATATAAACCAGATTATTATTTATTCTTGAAAAAACGTCTGTCCTTTGCCCCATTTTTTTATTAGCAGTCATGATGACAGAGTTCCATAGGACTAAGAGCTTTTGGCAACAATGCTTACCCTCTCTCCCACAAATTTCACACCTCAAATCATCTATGAGCCTTGAGGTCACCAAACATATCCTGTCAAATCCACAAGAAGTGCAGGATTCTAAGATCAGCTCAATAGCATTTCCAGAAGGCTTTGCATTCTTTTTCTGACCTACTCTCCAACGACTCATCTTCTATTGTTTATCTTCTCAACGTATCTCTCAATTTTTCCTTTTACTGTCTTCCTCTATCTTAAATCTAAATCTCTTTCAAAAATTCTACTTCCCCTATAGATTTCTCAAGTTGTAGAAGTTTTCTCTTATATCTTGGGATAGAAGTTGGGTTGGTATTTCTATTTGTTTCCTATCACCCCTGTTAGAACATTGTGCTTTCCGTCCTCCCCTAACTCTGGAGCTTCTGAAGCATATGTATTAGACAATGCCACTTGATAATGTTCTATGTTATAGTCATCTATAGATCTCTATGACTGTTTCTGATATTCCTTACAGATTTCAACTTTTGGGAAATTGTTACATTCTTATTGTAATTCTTGGTAATATCTGTTTTCACATAGTTGATCCCCCCCACCATATGACATGCACTTTGTTTTTTGAGCTAATCTCTCCTCTAGTGAACTTTTACTTTGACCTATCTCTGTAATCCACTATGAGAGCTATCTTTAATAAATATAATCTCAATTTAAAGCATCCCATACCTTGAAGAACATCTCCTATCTGTTCACAAAACTCCTTTTAGTGTTCCAACTTTAACACATTAACAACTCCAGCAGTACCTACAACTATTTCTGATAATAACTGGAAAGTTCCAGTATGGAGACCCATTGTCTATGGTCAGTGAGTTCTGGTTTGTTGTGTAGCTAGTTTTTTTCTTTTCTTTCTTTCTTTATTTTATTTTATTTTATTTTATTTTTTTGAGACAGAGTCTCACTCTGTTGCCCAGGCTGGAGTGCAGTCGCGCGATCTCAGCTCACTGCAGCCTCCGCCTCCCAGATTGAAGTGATTCTCCTGCCTCAGTCTCCCAAGTCTGTAGCTAGTTTTAATTTGTTGGTACCAATGTTCTACTAGTCATTATATTTTAAAAATGTGATCTGTGCCTTCAAGGCATTGATCCTATCACCCTTTCACTGATTTATTCACTTTCTGGTATTAACTTTTTCCTTGCTCAGCATATAAATTGTACGGCCAATTATTCTTATTCCTGTTTGTATATATTATGCATCCCTCGTCTCTCACTACCTATTTTATACTCTTTTGTATTATGCCAAATAAGCCAGTCTCTGTTTATTTCAGTGCTACACTTTTGCAGGTGGATAAGGGCACAGAAACAATTAATAGGCTTCCATTTAAATCATGAACAACAATCTCAGTTGAGACCTTATATATCCTACCCAGAAATCTAAGGTTGTTTATCTAGTTCATTCACTCCAATACCATTCTTACTCTAGATGATATTTTTATCCTATTTCTCTGAAAAACAGAAGCAATCGGAAGGCATCCTCCTTGAATTTCAACCATATCATTAACTCACTGCCTGACCTATATCATATATTTAGCTTTTGACCTTCCATGCTCTTAGCAAAGACAAATTCTTCTGCTTGTCTTTCTAACTCTATCTCTAACTACATTGACCCTGACCCTGACCTTAATTTCCTTTTATCTGTAATCCTAAATGTATCTGAATCTAGTTTGAACCTGTTAATTATCTCTCACCTAAATGAAGAAATTCAAACCAATATTCTTTCCTTCTCTTGCATTAGTAACATTATCTTTAAACTTGATTATTTCCATTAGGATATAAATATACTTGAACCTTCATATTTAAATAAAAACCATTTTAATAAAAATTTTATTTTAATACAAAACTTATATCTCCTTCTAGTTATCATCTCTTTTCTATGCTTTCCTATATAGCTCAACTCCAGACAAAGTTGACTGTACTTGCTTTCTGATTTTACTCTGTTATTTCCCCTTGATCCCATTTCAAATACTCTTTCAAATACCATTTTAAATATTTTCACTACCCATCCTACTGACCCTGCACATGACCTCAACATTGCTAAATCGAATAGCCGATGTTCATTTCTGATCCAGGTTAAAGTGGCAGTATTGACATAGGAAACACTCAGACTATTTCTCTACTACTGAATTTTTTTTTCCTTCCTCACTGGCCCTCCTCTTAGTCTTTCTGACTGGCTTCTCTTATTCTCTGTGTTTTCTAAATGTTTGTATGACCCAGTCTGACCTTTAGGTCTGCTTATTTTCCTCCACCTGATCCTTCTATTCCTCCTCCAATCTCCCACACTTTTCATTCCTGTTCTTCTACCCCATCTTTCCTTTCCATTACTTATTCTCCATGTACTTCCAGGTAATCTTATTGAGTTTCATTAATTTTTAAAAATCCATATGTTGACAGTTGACAGTATCCAAATATTCTTCTCCAAATAGTTTCTTGAACTCCAGAATCATAATAATTGTATTCTTAGCATTTCTACATTAGTTTAATATGTTTAAAAGAGAACTTCTAGTCCTTCTATATGAAATATATAACTCTTTTAAAGTTTTCTTTCATTTTAGCCTGATAACTACTTGTGCTAAAATATTTAAGGCATTTTTAACATTACTATTTCTCTCATACCCCATTCAACTCCATCTGTAAGCCCTGAAGGCTTAACATCCACATTAATTCAGCATTATATTATCTCCTGTAATAGCACCTGGTTAAAGGCAAGTCTTCTCTCTTATGAATTATTGCAATAGCTTCCTACTTAGTTTTCTTGCTTCTGCCCTTGTCTTCCTACACAGTGGCAGTAGTGTTCTTGTAAAACCAAAAGTTGATCATTTTATTTCATTGTCCCGTACTCTCCCATGGCTCCTTTTGTTCTTGGAGTTAAAGCCGAAGTCCCAAAGTAATTTAGACACTTTCTGATCTGGCTCCCTGTTACCACTCTGATCTCAGCTTCTACTGTCCTTCATGTGTCTCCCTGGACTCCAGCCTCTTTGCTATTTGTGAAATATACCACCACTGTCCTGGATGGACTGTTCTTTCTGTCTGAAAATTCTTCTCTTAGATATGCATATAGCTTATCCTTTCATGTCTTTTTATTACTTAAGCTTCTATGATCACTCTTTGAAAAATTGTTTATTCATTCTTCGTTTCTGTTTTGTTCTAACACAAAGTACTTAATATAATCAAAGGTAATATATTATCAATCACCTGACAACTAAAATTTCCAATTAGGTAAGAGATTATCTGCTAATGTATTTCCAGCATATAGAAAAACAACTAAAGGCCGGGCGCGGTGGCTCACGCCTGTAATCCCAGCACTTTGGGAGGCCGAGGCGGGCGGATCACGAGGTCAGGAGATCGAGACCACGGTGAAACCCCGTCTCTACTAAAAATACAAAAAATTAGCCGGGCGCAGTGGCGGGCGCCTGTAGTCCCAGCTACTCGGGAGGCTGAGGCAGGAGAATGGCGTGAACCCGGAAGGCGGAGCTTGCAGTGAGCGGAGATCGCGCCACAGCACTCCCGCCTGGGCGACAGAACGAGACTCCGTCTCAAAAAAAAAAAAAAAAAAAAAAGAAAAGAAAAGAAAAACAACTAAAACATAATAGGTGCTTAATGAATGTTGACTGAATCAATGAATGAAATAATAACTTAATGTTATTTATTCGATAACTTCTTTCTTAATTGAAAAATGCTTTCTGGCCATAAATACCTCTCTATAAAATTTGGTTATATTTTATTATGTACTTATTTCTGCTTTTTTCCTAGTTTGTATGAACTTGAAAGGTTTAGTTGAAGTAGAATTGTCACACTCATTCTTTTTATTTTTTAAATACTCAATTTTAAAGGAAGAAGGGTTAAAGTAAAAAAGACTGAATGAGAAGTTACGAGTCAAATTTATTAGTGTCTAAAATATAATAGCAATTGCATATAGATTTTTCTTTCCCATTTAATCCTGGGCATATAAGGAAGCGCCAACGTGAGCATGTCTTTGAGCAGAATCCATTTTGCTCTTGCTTGTTTTTCACATAGAACTGCATTCGCTTTACCTGCATGTCTCATCTCTCAATTTTGTGTGTTTTTCCATCTGTTTATGTTTCTTTTTATAGTCATTTACTGCCTTCTTATTGACCTGCCCTATGTTAAACATGTCCCTAATATGTCCTGCCCACATCTCAGCCTGTCTACTTGTGTTTCTTCATCTAGCTAACAATAAACAACATAAGTCAGGTAATGAAATCAGCGTAATAAGAGAGGATCATGGTGTCTAGTTTGTTCAGAGGAAAAAGCACATGTGATGAAAATACACTCAGAGCTTGTTTTCTAAACACCATTTGCTAATTAAAATAATCAGTTCCTTTAAGAAGGAATGGATTCAATTTTTAATTTTTTGAGGAATCCCTGTACTGTTTTCCTTATCTAAGGTAATGTAAATGTCAATTAGCTTGATTTAGCTGTTCCACGAAGTATACATACACTTCAAAACATCGTGCTGTATATGGTAAATATATACAAATTTATCTGTCAATTAAAAAAGATAATTTTTTAAAAAAGGAAAAAATAAGGTAGCGGTTTCTAAGACTGGAGCGCAGAAAATACAAAAATTGCCTGGAGAATCTTGTAGTGCCAGTTTGCCCATTTGAAAGCTTTCACTGCATACTACATTCTTTATTGTGTCTTCACTCTGGGATAATTCAATCAATCCTGATTTAATCTATCTGTAGCTTTAAAGGTTGTCTTTACAATGGCTACAACAGGCATATTCTTGAATTGATATTGAGTATTTCTGAGTTCAAATAGCTTAAAGTTGTTTAAAACATTACTAAGTTTTATCATTTACTGCTTAAATTTGAAATGACATCAAAATTTATCAATCACTGTGTGCTGTTATTAATTTTTTGCAAAACCTTATTAGATTAAGCCAATTGCAATCAATGTTGTTAATATTCTGCTTTTTCAAAATCTCCCCTAGAACAAATACATTAATTACTTAGAGTTTCTATGTTATACTTTGTCACAGGCAAGATTTGTACCAGATGAACTTATTGGTCTTTCAATGTTCACATGTGTGAATTATACCAAATATTCTTCAACAATATAATGTTGGTGCATTCTTCCAACTCTCCTGAACAGTTTTACTAAAATAGTACCTGTCCCTCGATCCTAAGTCAAGGAACAGTTTTTTTTTTAATAAGTAACACTTCTTTCATAAGTTATGAGAGACTAGATAATGTTGTAATAACAATCTCCCTATAATATCAGTGGCTTAAAAGAACAAAAGTTTGTTTTTCCTGGATGTCTATGTGGTCTTTTATTAAGACAGGAGACTTGTTCCATGTCAGAGGGAAAAATTGTAGAAGTGTTTTACTCTTGCAGCCAAGTATCTTGATTATTTCCATTTATAACTGATTGCGAAAGCAAGTTCCAAAGTACCAAACTCCAGGGTGCAAAGAAATTCAATCTTCAGTGTGCCCCAAAACAGGAGAGAACCAAGAATCAGTGAGAAATGTTGTGTTTCAATGGAACACCCCCTTTTCTTAAGTCAAGATCCTTTCACTGGGCTAGTGTTCTTTGGAAAATCCTGATACAGTCTGGGTTAGTCCATACGATAATTGACTGAGCAATAGAATTCCAGACTTCTAGGAACACTCCTTAAATGTGATATTTCAGTTGTTGGTGTGAATAGATGGATAGTTTCCAAGTGAAAAATATGTATTCCAACTGGCACCATCAGTTTTATTTAGCGTTGTTCATAAATGCTTTTACTGCTGATGTTTTTGAATATCATTATTTTAAATCTAGTTATTTTTCCAAATTCTTCAAACATCTTTACTATACCAAGTAATTTTCAGGATTTATTAAAGGTTAATGAAGGAGTTTATTGCATCATATCTTCTATGGCTGTTTAAATACATGTAACTTTAGGGAAAACGTAAAGTAAACCACTGCAAGATGGCTAAAGGCCAAACATTGACAAAAGATGATTTATATTTTTATTATCAGAGGTCAAGGAGACTCATATAAGCTAACTTTTCATGGCAGAGCTTGTCTTTATTTAATTTCAATCTGATGTCAGTTTGTAGTTATTAAGCACTTACTAACTGTAAATCTTTTTACATATGTAGTGTAATAAATATACAGCAATTAGGCACTCTTGCCAGTTTATATATATTGTTCAATATTATATAATTGCAATCCAGCAGAGGAGGAAATATAAAAGTACAATCATGCAACACTGCTAGCCTACATTCTCCATTGATTCCTCATATCTGAAGTTTGTCAACATTTCACTAAAAGATACGAGAGTCTTGTGACAAAACCTGCATTACCATTCTCATATTTTTACTCTTATTTTTCTCTTAGCCTTGTCTTATCCAGTGACAATTAATTACTTGTTATTTTCAGAGTAAATAATGCTCCAATATATATTTTGGCTTTTGCCCATAATACAGACTTTAAAATAATTTGGTTCTATTTTAAGTACTTACTTAGTATTACTTTAGAAAACTTACTTTCCCTTCCTTGTTTCGGAATCTTCACAGTTTAGTACAAAATATAACTAGTATCCTAGCAGTGAAAAAAATGCATTTCAGTTGCAAGACCTATATATTTACTGAGCATATTGAACTATGTGCTTGTAAGAGTGCCAAGTTCAATGACTAAAACAGTGCATAAGAAAATCTCTGTTTGGAAGAGGATCTTTGTCAAGATCTTGGAGGTACAGGCTAGTGATTTGGCACTTACAGAGCAGCATGGTAAGTGGTGTATGGATCCAGCCAACCCAATTCCCTGGTTATGATAGAGTTTAATTTCAAAGGGCTTAGCAACCTGCACAGCGTCCAGAGTGTCCACTTTCAGGAGGCCAGTCCAGTCCAGCATATGGACTTCAGGGAAAAGGAGTCATGATTTACTTTCCTCAAGTTCTTTTTCTACATAAAAATGAAGGCATTATTAAGGGATAAATTTGGCCACTGGGGCATAAAATCACAAATTTCTCTGAAATTTAGATTTTCTGGATACTTGCAGGGCCAAAGCCAGAGACTCAGGGAACTTTTTCTTCATCAGAGTACATAATTATTGAACTTAAAGAAAGTGATGTTCTGGAACAGGGCTTCACTTTTATGTAAAGTGAGCCAATGTTTGAAAGAATTACAACACACAAGAAAAGTTCAGGCATTATTTTCTGAGCTGACAAGCACAATTAATGTCTGTCCTCTGTGACTCTATGAAGCATCCTGGACAACCCTTTAACTTGCACATTGAAATAATCTGCTGCACTTCTGTTTTACCCATTAGACTATTAACTTGGCAAGGAATAAGGCTTTGCTTTGTGTACCATGCAATCATTAACATACTTATTAGTACAGAGTAATACTTTAATATGTAGAACTCCAGCAGTTGTTTAATATTTAGAACTGAGCCAAATTGCTGATGTTAGAGGGAAAAAAAGGCAAAAAATACTAAATAAATACACTCCAGCTCAATTCTGAGACAAAATTATATAGACAAAAATATATGAGATGTATACAATATAACAAAATTTGTCAAATTAAGCAGATTATTATCTAAACTTTACGTAATACATAGACTTGCTCATTGATTAAGTGCAGACACATTTTAAATTATTTCAAAGATCTTGATTGAGAAAGAATCAATATATTGACTTTACATTCTTTAAAAAAGAAGCCTAATTGGCATAAGTTTATTCTTGAAAACTCTATTAAATGTCACATATTCTGGCATTAATGTTTGAGATACTTTGATATTGTGTATTACACCCTAAGTATATGTCCTTTTCTATATTAATTATAACATTTAAAATAATATTATCTTATTTTGCATTTACACAACATATGCTAGTTTTTAAGAACCATAGTGATATATGTAATCTAAAGATTTGCCCTCAAGTCTCAGATAACGACAATTCTCTAATAAAGTCATTTTATCATTTTAAATCACAAATTATCCTTTTAAAAAATTTGGGAAAAGGTATATGATATGTGAAAGTGTTTTACAACTATACATGATTGTTTGAAATGAAGAACAAGATATTATCTATAGTTCTCAAATTTCTCAAAGATTATTGTCATGCTTAAAGGGAGAAACACGGTATTTTGTTTGCTTTTTGTTTTTGTTTTTGTTTTTTTCTGTGTGATCAGAATTCATTTTATGCAAGATCTAATGCCATCTAATTGTAAGAGTTTGTACTACATTCATGTATAGTTGTTGAAATTAAATATCTCTAAAAACCATCACCACCAACCACAAACCCTAATAAAATAAATGTAATCATTGGCAGATTGAATTTCATTTATAAAAGGAAGGAAACGGGGGGAACAGCAAAAATAAAATAACCTTTAAAACTACTACATAAAAATATAAAACTACCATGCAGAACAGGATTTACTTCGAGATTTATTTTACTTGGTTTTGCTTTTGTTTTGTTTATTAGTAGACTCCACTACATAGCTTTAACACTTTCTTCTGGATTCAACTTTTCCCAGGAGTGGCTTTTCTCATTCCATTTATATGTCCCAGGAGAGAAAACAAGCAATCATCCCATGGCTATAGAAAGAACAGTAATCCTGAACTTTTATAAATAATAAAAAAAATTGAAAATATACAGGGTTTACATAAAATCAAAGCTGCAAAAGGCTACAGCAACAAACTGATATTTATTACCAAGAAATATTCTTGATATATAAAAAAGAACAAGGTGTTTAAATTTTGTCAAAATACATTTACTACCCAGAATTCAATCAGTTTTATAACTTGCAAGCTGCTTTAATCTGTCACAGAAAGGAAGAATGATGATTATATATTACAGGTAGTTAAAGGTGGGGTTTTTAAAAACAATGATTGTGGTTAGGATAACCCAAGAACATGAAATAGTCTCATGACCTATTATATCCATTATGTTTGGAATAATAGTTGTAGACAGTTATATGGCATAATAATAGTCTCTGAGGCTAAGAAATTTAAGAGTATTTTTCATCATCAAGATCACTAACTAGCAGTTATTGAACATTTAGTGGAAGCTCGACTCTAATGGGTATTGACCCTGTAAAGAATAAAATTTTAATATAGCCTGCTTTCCCATAAGCTAGACATTGTAGCTATTCATGCAAAATGAAATGCTTTTGTCTCACATAGTTACTTTGTATAAAACCAGAAAAAAATGAGTTACAATTTTTAATCATTACATATCTAAAAGAGATGTAATCTGAGACAGACTTTTAAAAATAAAAAAGAAAATATCAAACAAAATGTATCTGAGGCATTACAGAATAAAGAGTTACAAGTTCAACATAAATCTATCCAAGAAGGATAGAAAGGACATAATTTTATTAAGCAATCAAAAATGTTAAGATAAAATAATTAAATCATTTTCAATCTATATCCTGCCTGACCCAATCCACATCTAGACACTTATATAACGCACCAGGCATCCTGCACCTGGACACTGCATACATGATTCCCCTAATAGTATAACAAGTTCTCCTCTTTATGAACATCAATAGCAAGACACACATATTCAGGTTCCTCTTGCCACATCATACTCTGGCATTACTCTGCATACTGAATAAAGTACCTCCGTAAAGAAACCTTTATCTCTGTTTTAACTGTTTTGTGATCCATAATGATGTCTTCAACCAAATTAGTTGTTCATCCCACGACCATACATTCTGCTCAGTCATCCGTAACATACTGAAGGCTAAAATGAGCATGGTCAGCATCTGTTGAGTAGAAAGTGCCAAGGTTTGTGCTAAAAGTTTTAACTGGTGTTAGCTGATCCAATGATTAAAATAAATGTACACATTAGATACCAATGTCATCCCAATTTTACAGATGAGAGACTAAGGTACAGAAAGTTTAGTATTCTTGACAAAGAAATAAAGGGTAGAAGCTGCCATTCAGAATTTAGATCTAAGCAGTTGGAATCTTAATCCAGCAATGTTAAGGCTTCTTAGGCTTTCAATTAATCCTACAGTAACATGCAACTATCGATCTGTTAAATGTCTTTTATATATATATATATAAATATATGTGTTTATAGATATATACATTTGTATATACACATATGTATATGTGTATATATATACATATATGGATATATATACACAGACACACACATACATATATGGAGATATATATATATCTCTCTCCATAAGGCCCACCAGAAGCAATTTGCTTTCAGCTGATAAGGCTGGTAATACACCTTCACTGTCCTGACTCAGGGCTGTATAAATCCTCCAACCCTACTTTGTAATTTAACTTTCAGGGAATTTGACTGCCTTTTCTTTTCCTAAGATATCACTCTGGTTCATTACATTGATGACATTATAATTATTGGACTTAGCAAAACGTGGTAACTGCCCTAGACTTTTATAGGCACGCCATTTGGATTTGAGAGGATAGGAAATAAATATGACTAAAATTTGGGGGATTTCTGTCTCAGTTAAACTTCTGGTAGCCTAGTGGTGTGGAACATATCAAGATATACCATTTAAGGTAAAGAATACATTGTTCCATCAGGCCCCTCCTGTAAGCAAGAAGGAGACATAACACCTAGTTGGCCTCTTTGAATTTTAGAGGCAACATACCTTGAGTATGTTATTCTGAATCATTATCCAGTGACCCAAAACACTGCTACTTTTGGTTTGGTCAGAACATGAGAAGACTCTACAACAGGTTCACGTTGCTGCGCAAGCTGTTATGCTACTTGGACCATATGGTCCAGCATATCCAATAGTGCTTGAATCTCAGTACCAGATAGGGATGCTGTTTGGTATATTTGACAGTCTCTTATAGGTAAAATCTAGGAAAGGCCTTTAGGATTCTGGAACAAGGCCCTGCCATCTCCCAAGGATAACTACTTTCTTTTTTGAAAAACAACTTTCAGCCTGTGCCTCGGCCTTAATAGAGACCATAGTTCACTTTCTTTGGAAGGAGAAATCACCAGAGTTGTGGTCATATACTAATTCATGGGCTGTGGCCAATGATTGGGTCGGGTGTTCAGGGAATTTAAGAGAATATGATTGAAAAACTGGTAACAAATTTATGGTGAGATATCCCCTCTGATTTGACAAAAACATTAAAAATAATTGTTTTTCATGTGGATTTTCACTAGAGAATCACCTCAAAAGAGGAGAATTTTAACCATCAAGCGGATAGGATAACCAGTTATGTGAATTCTAGTCAGCCTCTTTCCCTGCTGGCTCATGTAAAGAGTGGCCATGGTGTCAAGGGTGGAGGTTATGCAAGGGCTCAGCAAAAGACTCACACTTACCAAGATCAATTTGGCTATGACCTCCATCACGTGCCCAAACTGCTTGCAGCAGAGACCAACATTGAGCCTTTGATATGGCATCATTCCCTGAAGTGATTGGCTTCTCTCATAGAAGGGGCAGTGCTTTGTCTTTTTTGAAATAGACCCTCTGGATATAGATTTGCCTTCCCTGCATGTAATGCCTCTGCCAAAACTACCACCCATGGACTTACAGAATGCCTTATTCATCATTACAATATTCTATACAGCATTGCTTCTGATCAAATAACACACTTCACAGCAAAAGAAGTGAGGTAATGAACTCACACTTATGGAATTCACTGGCTCTACCATGTTCCTGCCATACTGAAGTAGCTGGTTTGATGAAATGGCCACTTAAATATTCAGTTACAGCTGCTGGCAGTGTCTTGCAGGGCTTGGGAAAGTATCTTCAGAAGGTGGTATGTGCTCTGAATCAACATCCAATGTAAACTTCTCTTTTTCCAATAACCAGGATTCACAGTTCCATGAATCAAGGAATGGAAATGAAAATGGAACCCCTTGCTATTACCCCTAGTGGTACACTGGGAAAATTTTTGCTTCCTGTTCCAGTGACATTATGATCTGCTGGCCAAAATGGCTTAGTACCAGAGAAAGGAATTCTTCCTAGGATAAATTATAATAACTCTATTGAACTGGAAATTATGACCGTGTTCAGTCACTTTGAGCGCCTCAAGCCTCTGAATCAAGAGGCAAAAAGGGGAGTTATGGTGTTTGCTGGAGTGACTAATTTTGAATACCAATGGGAAATTGGACTACTCCTCCACAATAGACGTAAGGAAGAGTATGTCTTTAATACAGGAGATCCCTTAGGGAATCTCTTAGTAATCGTATGCCCTGTGATTAAGGTCAACGAAAAACTACAACTTCAAACAGGCATTTCAAATAACAGGGCAGACCATTCAGGAATAAAAATGTCTTAATCTTTCTGTGCTTCTCTAACTGAATACCACAGACAGTAATTTATAAAGAACAGAAATGCATTTCTCATAGCTCCTAAGACTGGGAAGTCCAAGATCAAATCATCATCATCTATTGAGGGACTTATTGCTGCATCCACATACAGCACAAGCTGAAAGGTTAAAAAGGTGATGCACATTGTGTCCTTAAATGGCAGAAGGGCAGAAGAGGATAAACATGCTCCTGTAAGCCCTTCTTACAATGGCATTAATCCATTCATGAGGGCAGAACTCTCATGACCTAAACACCTCCCATTAGGCCCCACTTCCCAACACTTTTACATTGAGGATAAAATTTCCAACATATAAATTTTAAGGGACACATTCAGAACATAGCAGATGGTTTGGGTCACCCCTCAAGGTAAAGAGGTAAAATACCATAACCAGCTGAAGTGCTTGCTGAAGACAAAGCAAATACATAATGAATAGTGGAAGAAAGCAGTTATAAATACCAACTATTACCACATGACCAGTAACAAAAATAAGAACTGTAACTGTCATGAGTATTTTATCCTTATTTTGCTTTCAAGATGTTTGTGTGTATATATACACATGCAGTTGGATGATAGATTGATGATAAATTGACAGATATTTGTTTTCTTTCCTCTTGTATTCACTTATTACCTAACATAAGATATATTAATTATATTTTGTAGTATTGAAGTATTTTTAATTTTAATCATATTATTTAAGTAACCAGATAGCATAGAGAAGAGTAAATATCACTCAAAGACTATCTCTTCCTCTGGGAAAGGGACTGTACATTTCTTTCAGTTGCATGCCAGATAGTTGCAATGTTTAGTGCAACTCAAAAAATAATTTAAAAGAAAGATATTAATACCCACTTATGTATAGTTTACTTTGCTTTCCTCTTGGATACCTCCCTGCACATATACTTCCTGCAGGCAGCAAACTATGAAAACTTGAAGTCAAAGTAAAACTTGAAAGCAAAAATAAATAATCCTTCCTGGACACTCCATATCTAGCTGAGATTCTTTAACATCAGTTTCCCTCTTCCCTCCTCAGATAGTTATGATGGTGAGTTCCTTTAAATATTCTCTATATTCACCAAAAGCCATTGGTTTGTGTTGAAAATAAGACTAATGCAACTCATAGGACATTTATCACAGAACAAAATAGTTAAGCAATTTATCCACTTCGCCTCTGATTTTCACGGCAGTCAACAAATAGCTATTTCTAGGCATGTTACATCTTTCTTCCATGAATTCTGTAGTCAATCCATAGTATATTATGACTTTGTTTCCAATACCGCCCTGTTCTGAATGCCTTTAATGCCTTCTCTCATAATAGTGTAGTGTATTTTCCTATCTCTCTAATTCAGAGATTGGCCATGAGATTTGCTTTGGCTAGTGGATTATGAGTGGTTGTGGTGTCTTCAGAGGATTTAAAATGTGCTTGCATAGTTTATCTTGGCCCTTGAACTCCTGCTGTTCTAGAAGAAAACATGCCCTGGGTACTTCTAACTAAGGAAGATAAAAGAAACATGTCATATACTTGGGGCTAACCCACAAATGAAACGAAGCTGAACCTAAACACTGCTTGAAACAGAGCTAACCATCCAAGCCCAGCTGAGATTAGCCAAGCCTCTTCCCATTCACAGACCTGGAAGCATGAGAACAAAAGCTTATCATAGTAAGTCACTAATTTTTGAATGAATTTTCAACACTATTTTTTAATTTAAATAAAACTGGCTGATAAAGCACATTTTCTAAATTAAATTCAAAGTTCACCTGGCTGGCTAGTTGATCCCTATTCCCATCCGGTTCTCGCTTGCCGTAACTTATGACGCAGCTTCTGTTATAGCAAAGCTGCATCTCATTTTCTTCTAAAATTCTTCCTTATATGTAGATGGAAAGGAGCCGACATTTAGAGATAATCTGAATGTTTACTATATTGAAAGATCTATTACTTTCAGCCTTTTTTAAAAAGAGAGGCTGAAAATTGCCTAAATAACAAATTATTTTTTTAGCTCATGTCTGCATGATATGGAATATCTTGCCAAATACTTTACCCCTCTGCTATTGGTTGCAAAGTAAAGAGTGTACTTTTGACTTAGAATGTCTGTCTTGCCCTTATCTTTTGAATTTTTCAAAGTTTTCTCTTTCTGTTCCATGAAGTACACAGATGACAAATGAGAAAGACTGACTGAACATGAATATGCTACACATTTACTTCACCATCTCCTAGTCCTTATTCAGACTATACATTGTGTAGAATATAAATAGTATTAAAATAGCTCAATAATTTTAAGTCATAAATTGTCTCATTACATTGATTATTGCTTTTTATAATTACTACCAAATTTCAACTATTTTTTCTACATCTTTACTGTTAAAAGTCCACTGATTATAGCTGTTTACGGGTTTGAATAGTTTTCTGAATTCTAGAACAGAATACATGCATGGTTTGATCGTAATTTTTTAATGCAGACTAGCAAAGCCATATACAGACTACTTGATTCCCTGGCTGCATTTGTATTTTTGTTGTGAAAAAAAATAACCTCCTTCCCATTTTAGAGCTATTACTTTATCTCTGCACCCTGAAGGGCCCATATTTAATGTCCTTCAAATGCTAGTTTTGAGGCTGTTAATCATTAACTATCTGATTCAGAGACACTAGTTCTCTAAAATACTTTGTTAAATTGCAATATTATAACTTATTCTTGAAGTAGGTTCTACTTGCTTTTATAAGATTCTAGGTAAAGGAAAGGTCTTATGTTTTATAGTTCATGTCTAGATTTCACACAAAATCTCTGTGAAATGGTTGGATTATCACATGCTGAAAAACCCTCTTGCTAATCAAGCATGAGAAGCCAAAAAATATACACTGCACAGATGGGCAGTTAATTTCTTTCCCATTGAGCTAGCAATGTGCTCCATGATGTTTTAGCAGCTGTGATGAGAATGGTGGATGTCCCCAGTCTATGCTTCATTTAACTTCGGGAATTCGAAAAGATTGCATTGTGTGAAAAATAAAAATGTATTTTAAAGCAATGGAGCTTGGTGTCCTGAAGCAACATTTCATTTTAACAACTAAGTTTTAGGTGCAAATGTTGATACTTACATATTTCATTCTTCTGACAACTTTACCACAACTTGGATTGTATTTCATCACTAAATCATACTGTCAACTTAGTCTTAGACAGCCTATGAAAATCAATGGAACTTTATAATAGAAAATAGAAGAATTGTGTGGTAAAAAATTGTTTCAATTGTTTGCCACTCATGTTTATTTTTCACAGATACCAATAATACCACATTATATTTGTATAGCACTTTTATATTCAAAATTATTTTCCTGTCAAATGGGAATAAAATGCTTGTACTGCCTACTCAGAGCTGATGATATGATTACCTGACATAAAAGAAATAAAAATGCTTTCTAAAGAATGCTATAAGAGATGAGGGATTATCATTGCCATCACGTCTGAGAATTTTAGTCAGCAAAAAGCACAGAGGCTTTGAAATAAGACCTGGATTTCAGTTTTGGTTTCATTCCTTATAATGTTTGTGAAACTTGGCAGTTGCCTTACCTTTACACTGAGCCCAAGGGATTTTTGTGTATAAAATTTGAATAATTATATACTATATATAAGGTATGTGTGTTTGTGTGTATGTGTGTGTGTGTGTCTATGCTTGCATGCTTGAAAATTACAGAAGTTTTTATAAGGAAAATGTATAGTTCAAGGTTACACTAACATCTGATAATCAGGTTTAAAATGTTATACATAACAAAAGCCATTATTAAATGTATTAAGTGAATAGACTGGTCTGAGACACATTTTAACAACAGATATTAAGGGTCTGAACTTCATTCAATAAAGAATAAGAAGTATAATTGTAATGACTGAAGGGAATCATCTTTCATTTGTCCTCTACCTAGTATGCCTAGGAGTATGGTATTTTTTCTCAAAAAAAAAAAACTTGATAATAGTATCTCTAATGGATTTGTAACTGCTAGATTACGTATCAGACAATATAACTCCTTTAAAATAGAACCATTGTTAAATTTCTAGAGAGCACTCAAGACTCCTCCATATCATCCTCTCCTAGTGTTCAAGAAATGGTCAAGTCACTCCATCCCCAGGGAGAAGAGTTATACAGGTTTTAGGATTTAGGATAGTAAAATCCTTGAGCTGTCATGACAATGGGTAATGTTGGTATGCCAAGTTCAATTTGGTGAGATACATTATATATATACTTATGGTCTTTTCTGAGGTTTCCTCCAACATAACCAGAGTTGTGAAAGTGGTGGCCATGTTCTTTGATTTCCTTATTTTTAATCTTTTTTTATTTTTAATTTTTGCAGGTACGTCCTAGGTGTAGAGAACTCTTTTGCTTGCACATTTTTCTATCGAGATGATGGAACTGATGGAAATAATAGCATGATCCATTTCCCACGAAAGATGCTCATTAATTTCTAATTAAGATGCTTCTTAATTTCTTATGTTCCATTAGTTAGAACTGATTGTCTTTCTTACTTTTTAATTTCCACCACTCTGAAGGAGACAAAGATCTAGGCCTTCTCCTTTTAGAAGTAACCCCTACTATTCTCTATTTTTAATTTAATGTATTCTCTCTTCTCTCTTTCTCTCCTCTTCTCCATACATATTTCATACATTAAATGTTGCTTTCTACAACACCCTTCTATTTTGCCTGATGTCCCAAGCTCAACAGTCTAGGGTTAATGAGCTAAAGCCCTGGTTTATTAAGGGTTGATAAGCTGAATTCTGATGTGGAGGATATGTTTGCATCAATCATTACGTCTTCTCTCTCTTCAGCTCTCCATTAAGAATTCAAGGATTGGACTTCATTATTTCCCTACTACCTGATGTAATCAATCTTTTATTTGCCTACATGTCTATCTCTCCTCCTTCCTCACTAGAATACAAACGATAGGAAGGCAGAAGTTTGTATTTTTATTTTCCCTACTGTTCAGAAGGGTGCCAATAAATGGCAGGTGAGTAAACAATAATTGGTGTAAAATAAATCAGGAAATAAATATAAAACTTTTATTTGAATTTCAATAAAAAACAAATTTTCAGATTTCGGACTGCCCAGGATAGGGGAAAGCTGACTTCCTTGTGTTCCAGCTAAGCACACTGGAGCTCTACCACAGGGTTAACTCAAAACCCAGCTAATAGGCTAGGAGTGGTGGCTCACACCTGTAATCCCAGCACTTTGGGAGGCGGTGGCGGGTGGATCACTGGAGTTCAGGAGTTAGAGACCAACCTGGCCAACATGGTGAAACTGCATCTCTCCTACAAATGCAAAAATTATCCAGGCAGAAGTTGCAGTGAGCCAAGACTGGCCCACTGCACTCCACCTTGGGAGACAGAGTGAGACTTTGTCTCAAAAAACAAAGAAATAAACAAAAATATAACAACAACAACAACAAAAGACAGCTAACAATACATTATTGCTTCACTTTCTTTGTGATTATTATCTCAGGATTATCTCAGTTTATGCTGGTTTAAGGATAATGCAAAATTCAGAATAATACCACATTGATATAAACTATCTAATGGAATATCAAAATATTGTTTTCAAAAAATAGCATAGTTTTTTACGGTTGATAAAGAAAACCATAATCATTTTATAAAACACAAAGTAGAAAAGTATAAGAAAAATAAACTTAATTCTAAAATAGAGGAGGAACTTTATAAAATATAATGCTTTTAATTCAGCCATTTCTCCTAGGCATATTTATATTTTCATTGTCAACTTATTTATAATCTTTTCTAACGTAATTTTTCATGCCATAGCATGAGGAGTGTGGTCCCCATCATATGCTGTGTATAACAAAAATTCTAAAGTTTGCATTGGGCACCATATTATCAACTATATTGTATTTATCAAGATCCTAATGTTGGGAATTTTTGTGGATGTTGTTTCGGGCTCTAATTTCCATGATTTACTGTCAGTGGTTTGATTAAAAATTATCTACTGAAAACCACTTGATCTTACAGGAAAGAAAAACTAGGTCCATAATGACTTAATTAACTAACCATCATATTTTGAGAATGAGAATTTTAACTCAAGTGTTTTATTTATTATTCCAGTATTCTTTAAAAATGTACATGGTCTTGAAAAGAAAAAACAGTTATAATCATGGAAACCTCATATTACTTTTAGAGAAGTGGTGAATCGTAAATAATTTTACAGCAAGATCTCAGTTTATTTGTAATTAAAATGTATAATTAAGTGCATATTTATAAGATTAAGTAGGTCTAAAATAAGTCAATAATAAGAGATCACTCAGAGACAGTGAGGGGTAACTTCACCACAGCCAAATGTTTCTGGGTGTCTAGAAATAAAAAAAAAAGTCATATTTGTGGAGAAGAGTCAAAGAAGGGTTCTGATCATTGTATTCATCCTTTATTGGTTTCTCAGCCTGTGACTTTTTCTAGCAATTAGTTCAGTATAGCAATAGTCTGCTATATGCAATGGATAACAACACAAAATTGGGGGGAAAGAATAATTGTATTTATTTTAAAATGGTCTCAGTGTTCAAGCTCATAATTTTTGGTAATATGTGTTTTGTAATATATGTGTATATGTATATATAACAATTTTATAGCCACATATACATAAATACATGTGTATATATATTTGTTTATGTATATATTTGGATTTATGTTTACATATTTATATATTTATAAATCACATATGTACACATACATAAATCCATGTATTTATATCTTTTTCCCAAAAATAAATCCAGGTTTAAAAACACAAATTTAAATTGAAAAACATATTTAATATTATTATTCTATTTTAATTTGCTAGATATTACTTGATACAATGAAACAAAATTAGAGATTCTAATAACTTGTTAAAATAATTAAAATATTAAAATATTAAATACTAAGATCTCCTTGCATTCACTGTATTTGAAAATAATCGCAATTTAACTAATACTTTAATTAATTCTAAATTATAAAGAAAACTCCATCAATGCTCTTTGACCTATTAATATCCAGTGATTATCCCTAGATAGATGTTAGAGCACTAAATACCAGAGGAACTGAGATAATTAGGTCATAATTTTAAATTTTAGGGTATATTTTCTATTTTTAATTTTATTTGAAACTGGACAAGCCAGAAAGTAATTGTTAAAAGTGATCTTCAAAGTAAAACAGGTGTTTTGGTTAATAGCTCAACTTTGATGAAAGTCAGTGGGAATCTTGAAAGCTAATTAAACGTGTAAAAGACACACTTCCTTATGAGAGCTTTACTTTCTCTATAAATTTTTTTTGGAACTGACATATTCACAGCTGGGAAAACTAAACACCTGCTTTTAAGGGACTCATGAATGTTTAATCCTGATGAGTAGATTGTTCCATTAAGATCCAGGCAAACAGAGCAGATCATGTAAATATGAAAACAAAATAATCACTACCCCAGAGGCATTTCTTTATCTTACTTTCCTTTAACTATTCTACTTTTCTACAAAATATTACCTGTATTTTCTACCATCCATGATTATATATGTATGTGTGCACATTATGAAAATTAAGGGACATATATAAACCATGAATAAGAATATTTGATATGACTTTTAATCCTTTTCTTAATGTTTAAATAATTTACATATTGCATATTAATAAAATCATGTCAAAAGTTTTAATGTTAATAAATTGATAAAATTTATAAAATTAAATTTAAAATTTAATTTTTATAAGATTTAAAAAAATTATTTAATTTGTATAAGATTTATAAAAATATTTATATATTTTTATGAGTTAATTTATAAAATTAATATTTTATATAATGTATAAAAATGAAATACATATTTTACACAATTTTTATAAAATTTTATTTATATTCTAAAAATTTTATTTTTTGCAAATGGCTGAAGTAATTCTGAGTAAAATCATTTTTTCCTTAACTTAAAATATAACACTTTCTGTAATCGATTAACTCCTATAATGGATCTAAATTATGCCTAAGTGATATTTGTAAAGCAGGACAGCCATACACAAAATGAAATATTTTATTTACACCCACCCACAGATTCCATTTGACTAATGTAAACAGAATTAACATACATCACTTAAAAACTGTAAAAAGTTAACAAATAACTTTTAAGTTCAGAATATAAAGCAGTCTTTTATGAAATAAGAGAGTGTGTGAAAGAGAAACATCTCCAATTAGATGTATTATAAATCATACTTCAATTTAAATAAATCAGATTATTGCTCAGTGCTATTTTGTAATCACTCTCTCAATTCTTATTCTATACACTACTAAGAGAGTATAAGTAAAAATAGAAAACAAGCAAAAATATCAACAAATTGTATAAATTATTCAATAGTATAGTATAACACCTACTGTAAGTGTATACTGAAAGATGTCTGCCAATCTTTCCACATTTGTTCTATTGTCATTGAGTATTGGAGTGGATTTTAAGATATTCATTGGCAAAGACATAAGACATATAACATCATTTTTTCACATCTTTAATATGGTTTCCTATTAGGACTTTGTAACAGAATATAATTATATAGTTACTCTGCTCACTTAGTAGAAAACTAGGGTTATAAAAACAAAGTGATCCAGTGGCATCTAAATCTTCAGAAATCTCAAAGTCACTAGAAATTAATTTTTAAAAATGCCCTATACCACAAATCCTATCAACTCACTTTGCAAGTATATATTGTATTTGTTCCTTTATTTCCACATCCACCATGGGTACCCCCAAAATACAATACTGTATCTTCTGTCTGACTACAGCTCTAGCTTCCTAGCCATTCTACCTTTATTCATCCTTTTACTCTTACCTATTATCCACAGAACAACTACAACTAGAGTGAACTTGTGTATGTGTGTGTGTTTGTGTGTGTGTGTGTGTAATTCAGATCACATGATAAAATGATTGACTTGACAATAAGAAAAAGCTGAACTCCCTATGGTGGGTTCCACAGTCTTGCCCCTAGTATAAAATGCAATACTACTTAGCAATAAAAAAGAAACAGGAGGGAGGCAGAACAAGATGTCAGAAAAGAAGGCTCCAGCAATGATCCCCCTAGAAAGCACACCAAATAAACTACTACCTAAACACCAAAGAAACACCTTCACAGGAACGAAAATCAGGTGATCACTGACAGTACATGTTTTAACTGTATATTGCTGAAAGAGGCACTGAGGAGGAAAAAACAAAAAAACAAAAACAAAACAAAACAAAACAAAACACCAGTCATCATATTCCCAGATCTCTTGCTGCCTGAGAAAAGCAGAGGAAAATGTAAAGGGGACTCTGTCTAGTCCCTTAAGTACCAGCTTAGCCACAGTGAGGTAAAGCACCAAGCAGGCTCTTAGGGGTCCCAATTCCAGTCATTGGTTCTTGGATAGCATTTTATGACCTGCCCAAGCACAAGGGTGAGCTCACTTTCCTGAAGGGTGAGTCCCAACCCAGGCAGTATTCACCAAAAGCTTGGTCCTTAAGGAAACATCTGCAGTAGTCTGGCAGTCCTTTCTGTGGGCCTGTGGTGGTGTTGGCTCACAGCTTGAGGATAGTCTCCTTTGGTAAAAGGAGAGCAGATTGGGAAAAAACTGCATCTTGTGGTTTCAATGTCAGCTAAGCCACAGTACAATACAACATGAGGCATAGGTCTAAGGTTTTTACTCTAGTCCCTGACTCCGAGATAGCACCTCTGGACCCACCGAGGGCCTGCTGAAACTCACCACCCTAAAAGGAGGGACAGAGATCTGACTAGCTTTAAAACACCTGCTGATTTTAGAGGCCCAGAGACTTGAGTGAACATAGGTGGTAGCCAGGAAGTGGTTAAAACAAGCCTTGGGCAAGTGCTGTGCTAGCTTCAGGTATAACCCAGCACAGTCATAGTGGTGGTGACCATGACAGTGCTTGTGTCACTCCACCCCAAGCTTTAGGTGACTCGGAGCAGAGAGAGGCTCTGTTTGTTTCAAAGAAAGTAAGGGAAGAGATCAGGAATCTCTGCCTGGTAATTCAGCAAATTCTTCCAGATTTTGTTCAACAGCATCAAAGCAGCTTCACTAGTCTGCAAGAACCACAGTGTTACTGGGCTTATGGTGCTGCCTAATGCATATACAGCTGAGATCACAACATCCAAGTCCTTTTGAATATCTGTAAAGCTTTACCAAGAAGGACAAGCACAAACAAGCTCAGACTGTGAAGACTACAATGAATATCTGACTCTTCAATGCACACAGAAAAATGTCCACAATATCAAGACCATCCAGAAAAACATGGCCTTACCAATGAAATAAATAAGTCAAGAGGGACGAATCCTGTAGAAACAGAGATATGTGATCTTTCTGACAGAGAATTCCCAATAGCTATGTTGAGGAAACTCAAATAAATACAAGATAATCAAGAAAAAGAATTCAGAATTCTACCAGACAAAATTAATAAAGAGATTGAAATAATTAAAAAGGATCAAGCAGAAATTCTGGAGTTGGAAAATCCAATTGACATCCTGAAGAATGCAGCAGAGTCCTTAAATAGCAGAATTAACATAGCAGAAGAATTAGTGAGTTTGAAGACAGACTATTTTAAAATATACAGTCAGAGAACACAAAAGTAAAAGAATAAAAAACAATGAAGCATGCCTACAGGATCTAGAAAATAGCTTCAAAAGGGCAAATCTAAGAGTTATTGGCTTATAGGTGAGATATAGAAAGAGATAGGAACAGAAAGCTTATTCGAAGGGATAATAACAGAGAACTTTTCAAATCTGGAGAAAGATTTCAATATTCAAGTATAAGAAGGCTATAGAACACTAAGTAGATTTTGCCTAAATAAGACTACCTCAATGCATTTAATAATAAAACTCCCAAAGGTCAAAGATAAAGAAGGGATGCTAACAGCAGCAAGAGAAAAGGCACAAATAACATATAATGGAGCTCCAATATGTCTGGCAGCAGAGTTTTCAGTGAAACATTACAGGCCAGAAGAGAGTGGCATGACATATTTAAAGTGCTAAAAGAAAACAACAACAACAACAACACACACACACAAAAACAAAAAACTTTTACCCTAGAATTAGAATGCCATTTCTGGCAAAAGTAACCTTTTTGCATGAAGGAGACATAAAGATTTTCCCAGACAAAAACAAAAACAAAACAAACAAAGAAACAAAAAACAACAACTAAACAACAACAGCAGCAGCAAAAACCTGAGTGTACAATAAATGCTAAAGGGAATACTTCAATCAGAAAACCAAAAACATTAATAAATAATGGCAAATAATGTGAGGTACAAATGTACTGGTAGCATTAAGTTACAGAAAAACAAAAATATTATATCACTGTAACTGTGATGTGTAAGCTACTCTTAAGTAGAAAGATTAAATGATGAACCAATCAAAATAATAACATCTTTTCTAGACATAGACAGTACAATAACATTTAAATAGAAACAACAAAAAGTTAAGAAGGAAGGAGATGAAGTTAAGGAATAGAGCTTTTATTAGTTTTTTTGTTGTTGCTTTGTTTGTTTATGCAAGTAGTGTTAAGTTGCTATAAGCTTAAAATAATAAATTATAAGATAGTATTTGCAAGCCTCATGATAATTTCACATAAAAATCACAACAGATCCAAAAATAAAAAGCATTAAATTAAATCATATCAGCAGATAAACTGAACAAAAATATTGAAATAATTAAAAAGAATCAACTAGAAATTCTGGAGGTGAAAATGGACTAAAAAGAAAGACAAGACTAAAGAAAGACAAGACTAAAAAAAGGCAAGAACGAAGGAAAGAAGGAACACAAGATTAATAATGAAATAGTGCAAGTAAGTGCTTACTTATCAATAATAATATTGACTCTAAATGACTTAAGTCTTCAACTGAAAGACACAGAGTGGCTAAGTGGATTAAAACAAAACAAAAGTAAACAACAACAACAAAAAACAAGATCCAAAGATCTGTTGCCAACAAGAATCACAGTTCACCTATAAAGACATGCATGGACTAAAAATAAAGGGATAGAAAAAAATATTCTATGCCAATGGAAATGATAAAGGATCTTACGTAGCTATACTTACATTAAAGAAAATAAATTTCCAGGCAAAACCTTTAAGAAGAGACAAGCATGGTCACTATATAATGATAAAGCAGTCAATTTAGCAAGAGGACATAACAATTGTAAGTATATATGCACCCAACAGTGGAGCACTCAGATATAATAAGCAAATATTATTAGAGTTAATTAGAAAGACAGACACTAATACAATAATAGCTGAAGTCTTCAACACCCCACTTTCAGGATTGGACAGGTCTTTCAGAAAGAAAATTAACAAAAAAAATTAGACTTCATCTGTAGTACAGATAAAATGAACCTAATAGATATTTACACAACACTTCATCCAGTGGCCACAGAATGGTTACAAAATACACATTTTTCTCATCAGCACATGGATCATTCTCAAGGACAGACCATATGTTACTTTACAAAACAAATCTTAAAAACATTCAAAAAATTAAAATAATATTAAAAATCCTCTCTGACCACAATAGAATACAACTAGAAATAAATTATAAGTGGAATTTTGGAACCTATACAAACACATGGAAATTAAACAACATGTTTTTGAAGGACCAAAGGGTAAATGAAGAAATTAAGAAAAACATTGAAAAATTTCTTGAAACAAGTAATAATTGAAACACAAAATATCAAAAACTATGAGACACAGCAGAAACAGTACTCAGAGGAATGTTTATAGCCATAAGTCATTACATCAAAAAAGAAAAAAAATTTAAGTAAACAAATTAAAATTCAAGAGCAAACCAAAGACCAAGTAATAAAATCAGAGATGAAAAAGAAGACATTGCAACTGATACCACAGAAATTCAGGGGATCATGAGTGGCTGCTATGAGCAATGCTGTGTCAATAAATTGGAAAATGAAGGACAGCAACCATATGATCATTTCAACTGATACTAAAAAAGCCTTTAGTAAAATTCAACATCTCTGTAGAATAAATACCCTAAAAAAGCTGGTTGTAGAAGAAGCATACCCCAACAAAATAAAAGTTGTATTTGACAGACTCACAACTAGTATCATGCTGAATGGGGAAAAACTGAAAGCCTTTGCTCTAAAATCGGGAACACAACAAGAATGCCCATTGTCATTCATCATAGTACTGGAAATACAGCTAGAGCGATCAGATAAGTGACACAAATAAAGGGCATCCAAATTGGAATGGAAGAAGTCAAATTATCCTTGTTTGCAGATGATGTATCTTATATTAGGAAAGTCCTTAAGAATATACCAAAAAGGTAATAAAACTGATCACCAAATTCACTGAATTAGCAGGATACAAAATTCACACACAAAAAGCAGTAATATTTGTATATAACAACAGCAAACAATCTGAAAAATAATTTGTTAGTAATCCCATGTACAGTAGCTAAAAATAAAATAAAATACAAAGGAATTAATCTAACCCAAGAAATGAAAGATCTTTAAAATGAAAACTATAAAAATGTTGCAAGAAATGGAAGAGGACACTTAAAAAATGGAAAATATTTCATGTTCATGGATTAGAATAATCAATATTCTTAAAATGTTCATACTAGCTGATATGGTTTGGCTGTGTTCCCACCCAAGTTTCTTCCTGAATTGTAGTTCCCATAATCCCCACGTGTTGTGAGAAGGACCACGTGGGGTGGTAATTGAATCATGGGAGTGGTTACCCCATGCTGTTCTCTTGATAGTGAGTTCTCATGAGATTTGATGGCTTTAAAGGCCCATTTCCCTTGCTTGGTACCTCTCTCTCCTACCTCCTTGTGAAGAAGGTTGGCACTTCTCTCTCCTGCCTCCCTGTGAAGGAGGATGTGTTCACTTCCCCTTCTACCACGATTGTAAGTTTCCTGAGGCCTCCCCAGCCGTATGGAACTATGAATCAATTAAACCTCTTTCCTTTATAAATTACCCAGTATCGGGTATTTCTTCATAGCAGTGTGAGAACAGACTAATACACCACCCAAAGCAATTTACAGATTTTGTGCACTCCCCATCAAAATACCAATAACACTCTTTACAGAAATTTTTAAAAATCCTAAAATTTATGTTGATCTACAAAAGAGCCAGAATTGCCAAAGATCTCCTGAGCGAAAAGAACAAAACTGGAGGAACCATGTGACATGACTTCGAATTATACTATATAGCTATAGTAACCAAAATGCATGTACTGCCATAAAAGAAGATACATAAATCAGTGAAACAGAATAAAGAACCGAGAAATAAATTCATACATCTACAATTAACTCTTTTTCAACAAAGCTTTCAAGAACATTAATTGGGGAAAGGATGGCCCCTTCAATAAGTGGTTCTAGGAAATCTGGATATCTATATGCAGAAAAATGAAACTGAACCCCCCATCTCTTGCTATACATAAAAAAAAAAAAAAATCAAGGCCAGGTGTGGTAGCTCATGCCTGTAATCCCAGCACTTTGGGAGGCTGAGGCAGGCAGATCACCTGAGATCGGGAGTTCGAGACCAGCCTGACCAACATGGTCAAACCCTGTCTCTACTAAAAATACAAAATTAGCCGGATGTGGTGGCATGAGCCTGTAATCCCAGCCACTTGAGAGGCTGAGGCAGGAGAATCACTTCAACCCAGGAGGCAGAGGTTACAGCGAGCCCAGATCATACCATTGCACTCCAGCCTGAACAACAAGAGCAAAACTCCGTGGAGAAAAAAAAAAAAAAAAAAATCAAATCAAAAGGGATTAAAGATTTAAGTCAAATGCCTCAAACTAAAAAACTACTACAAGAATATATTTGGGAAACCCTCCAGTACATTAGGCTTCTTGAGAAACACCCCACAGGTAGAGGCAACCAAAGCAAAAATGAACAAATGAGATCACATCAAGTCAAAAAAACTGCACAGCAAAGGACACAATTAAAAAAGTGAGCTGACAGCCCACAGGATTGGAGAAAATATTTGCAAATTACCCACTTGACAAGCGATTATTAACCCAAATATATATGAAACTCGAAAAACTCCATAGGAGAAAATCTAATAATCTGATTTTTTTCAAATGCGCAGATCTGAATAGACATTTCTCGAAAGAGGATATACAAATGGCAAAGAGGCATATGAAAAGTTGCTTGATATGATTGATTATCAGAGAAACAAAAATCAAAACTACAATGAGATATCATCTCACCCCAGTTAAAATGATTTTTATCCAAAAGTCAGGTAATAGTAAATGCTGGGAAGAATGTGAAGAAAAGGAAATCCTTGTACACCGTAGTTGGAATGTAAATTCATAAAACCACTATGAACAACAGCGTGGAGGTTCCTCAAAATGCAGAAAGTAGAGCTACCATATGACCCAGCAATCTCACTGCTGGATATATACTCCAAAGAAAGTAAATCAATATATCAGAGAGATACCTGCACTTTCATGTTTGTTGCAGCTCTGTTCACAATAGTTAAGATTTGGAAGCAACCTAAGTGTCCATCAGCACATGAATGGATTAAAAAAATCTGCTACACATACAGAATGGAGCTCTATTCATCCATAAAAAAAAGAATAAGTTTCAGCAATTTTCAACAGCGTTCATGGAACTAGAAGTCATTGTATAAAGTGAAATAAGCCAGGCACAGAAGGACAAACATTGCAAGTTCTCAATTATTTATGAGCTCTAAAAATGGATCAATTAAACTCATGGAGATACAGAGTAGAAGGATGGTTACCAAAGGAAGATAAGTGTAGTGGAGAGGGTGGAGGAAGCTGGGGATGGTTAACTACAAAACAGTAGTTGGAAAGCATGAATAAGACCTAGTATTTAATTGCACAACAGGGTGACTGTAGTAAAAAATAATTTAATTGCACATTTGAAAACAACTAAAAGAATATAGTTTATTGTTCATAACACAAAGCATTCATGCCTGAGGGAATGGATACCCTATTATTTACACTGATGTGATTATTATGCCTTCCGTGCCTGTATCAAAATATATTACGTAATCCCCAAATATATGCACCTACTATGTACAGAAAAAAAAAAAAAGAAAAGAAAATTTTAAAAAGGCACAATTTTTAGATGTTGCAACATTAGTGAATTTCAAAGGCATTCTGCTGAATGACAGAAGTCAGTCTCAAATGATTATATACTGTATAATTATATTTATATAATGTTCTGGAAAGCGAACATACAGTAATAAATTTTCAGCATTGCTAGAAGTGAGAGATAGGGAGAGGATGGGATTTCAAAGGAGCATCATAAGGAGTTTTTGAATGATGGAATTAGTCAATGTCACCATTGTGATAGTGGTTACACAAATCTACACATGTTAAAACTATATGACAGAAAGCTATTAAAATTTTGTATTTGTTAATTTAAAAAAATTAATAATATAATTGGTTCCTATCTTTAGTTGGCCAAATACACAAGCCAGAGTTTATTCATAAATGAAATTAGAACACTGATAATATTTTTACAAGCCTGTTCCTTTTAAAATATAAAATGTCTTTTTCCCTTATCCTTCTATCTTCTTTGTTTAGTCTTATTTATTCAATAAGTAAAGAGCTATACATTATTTATATTTCTCAGGAGAAATTCCATTACCTATTAATTTCTGTTAACGCAGTCTATGCATCTACCTTGATGTTGTCAGGAAACTAATTTTGTTGGCATCCTCATGATTTTTACATAGTAGGGTGGATGCTTTGTAAATAATTTATACAAATTAGAAGTTAACATATGTGCTAACTCTTTCTAATAAAAATATAATGGCATACTAACATATCCTAGTTGAATTTTTCAATGTAAATGTAATAATGCTTAAACAAGCAATTACAAAATAAGTCAAGAACCCTCCTAAAATTTAGAGGCTGTATTGAATCATATTTTCCTCATTCAAGTTAATAAAATGTACTGATTTTTAAAATATTGACAGTGTGGATATAAAAACCCTTTTCCAAACAATGATCCACAGTTGTCACATATCTGAATTTAGATAGCTATCTGACATGTTTATTCAGCCTTCTTGCAATTACAAGGAACCATGTGCCTTTTACTGATTTAATATGAAGGGTGTAGAATATCACTGTAGTGAAGGGTGATTATTATATTTCTTTCATGAGTATGAAAGTCTCATAACTCACAGACATCACAAAGTGCCTATGGAGTTTGTGAGTTATTAAGGTCAGTCATGGGAAAAAAGAAGATAATCACTTTTTACCAGTGAAATATTCAACTTATTTTAGGACAAAGCTTTTTTACCGATTACCAGCTCAAGAATGGAAGAGAACTAATAAAGCACCCAGTAGACTTTTCTTTCCATCTGTCCATCACTCCAGGATCTATTGAACTGTACCCTTGGTTGTTTAGTGATAGTAACACATTCAAACTATAGTAGAGATAAATAAAGATTGTTTTCATTTAAATTTGTGCAAACATTTTAACATTTAAAAAATAAGTGCTTTCTGCTTTACTCATTTATTTATTTTCAGGAAGGAAAAAAAAAATAATGGCTACTATCACCCTAGTCAGTGTGAAACAGGGATGTAATTTCTGGGCTTTCTGAAATAAGCTTTCTTTGAAAACAAAGGCATATAACAAAAAAAATCAAGGACTGCAGAGGAATTCTAGACTCTAATTATACAAATGGCATATATAACATAATTGCATTATTTTTATATTTGGTATGTATAAAAATGTATGAGGAGAATTGAAGAGTTTCTTTACAAATGAAAAACTACAAAATATAAAGTGTGAAATAGTGATAACTTCAGTTTTTAAAAAATCAGTCTTGGTTAAGAAAGCTGTTTTACTTAAAGTTTCAGTTGTTTCAATACTTAGAATTCCCTGCTTCTTTTTCAAATAGCCAGAGAAATTCAGAGCACTTTTTAATGTTTGAATGTGAAATTCATTTTGATAAGATTATGTTTATATATTCACCAAACAATATTTCAAGGCTCTGAATTCAGTCACAAAGTTGAGCAGGAAAAACAAATCTTGTTTCCTGAACAGTAAAAGATGTAGCATATGTGAGAAAGTGAGAGACAGAGTGTGTGTGTGTGTGTGTGTATGTGTATCCTCTACCCAGTTATAGTGTGGAGTATAAAAAATATTATACATAATATAGGAAAGTATGATACAGGAAACTATTTAGGTAATTCATAAATCAATGCCCTTCATATCTTCTCTTACCAGTAAGCACTTATTACTTATGATGATAACTATTTTGTTTTTATTTTATTTACTCATTTATTTTTGATATATTCAACATTTATTTTTTCATTTCTGAGAAAGATGTTCATTTCACTAAGAAAAAAAATCTTCCAGAAATGTTCGCTTTCTGAAAATAGTTTTACTCCTTATCAATATTTCAATATCTCATTGTTATTTCCTCAAATATTTAGAGATAAATATCATTTGCTCAAATTTATCTTTTTTATAGTGAAAAGACACAAGGTCATGCTTGCCTTATTTTACTTAGTTTGAAGTTCCCTCACCATCATGCTTATTTTTCTTCTCATTCATTTCAGTTTTTCTTCCAATTGTATTTTAAAATTTAAGTTTATGCATGGCATGGTCATACGATAAATATAAAGTTCAAAAGCAAAATATCAAATGGTAATAATCAGATTGTCAAAGGAAATTGAATAGAGTTTCTTCCAGGACTCTTGAGGGCTCTTAAATTTCTTCACTTATAGAATAATAAAAACTCAGAAGACTGGAGTAGGGCAAGTTTGTGAAGACATTACCTTATTGAGAGTAGATGAGATTACTTTAGATTTTATATACTTCAGCCAACTACAGCAAAGATGGGAGGTGAGCAGAATGAGGCTTGATATGAACCAAGGGAACTCCTCGAAGTGGGGAAATAAATGTACACCACTGTATGAAGAAAGGAATCAGACTCTCAGGTAAAGGAACTGTTGGAGAGAGATGCTCAGTGTAGGGGATTTCTTGAGAAGTTCTGAAAACACCTTGAAATAAAAGTTAGCATTAGACATCTTAATGTGGAACACCCTATCAGATTTTCAGGGTACTAGTGCAAACAAAACTTCTTCTGCCCTTTTCATTTTACCCTTCCTATATTTCTGCTCCAAAGTGGTAATACGGCCACATACTTCATATGTTCTCCACTTGTGACATATTTTGGAAACATTTCTTAGATAGCTAAGTTATAATTTTAAGTTACTTTTTCATTTATTAAGGGATGAGATACCTTCAGAATTCTTTAATATTTATAAATTTGTTTTATTCTTTATTTTATTGATTTGTCATTATAACTATTTCTTAAAATTTGTGAGTCCTGGCGACTGTCACTGATATCCTGGATTTTTATAGGGCTATTTATGTTCTTTCAGTGTTTATAATTGATAGTTAAATTATATGAAATCATTTTTTATTTTTTCCTTAATGTCTATCTTAGGCATTGTCTGATATATTTTTATTTCTTTTTTATCTTAATATCGCGTATTTCATCTTTTAAATTATGAATTCCTCTTATAATGTGATGCAATATATAGTTTTTCTAAAATTATATGTGTCTTTCTTATATTTTGTGCATTTTTCTTCTGTTCTCATTTATGTATATTTTTTAAAGTTCTATTTTTCTAAATTTTTTGTTTTGCTTCATTGTTTCTGTATTAATATCATTAAATGATAGCAATATTACCCTGTATTCTTATAGTATAGGTGAATACAGGTGGTTTCTTTCAAAGACTTGAATACACTGACTTGAAGAAAAATAAATAAAAAACAATATCAAGTATATTTACTTATTAACTGTACAATTCTGAGAAAAAATAAGCATTTTTAAATTATCAGAATTTTTGACTCTCATATTATGCTATTATCTAGTGTAGTTATTATTTTAAAATATGGAAGAAAATGATACAATAAAAAGTAAAGCCCTTATTTTAAATCTAAATACTCTGGGGAATTTTTTAACTTAGAAAAATCTCTGCTTTTGAAAAAATAGTAAGATCTTACTCTGGAAGGTAGTAGCCAAAGTGTCCTATTGCTTCTGGAAGTATCTTAATAATTAGATAAACCCACAATTTTTCCAGAACAATCAGTTAAAGTGAAGATTCCATATTAGTAAATGCACATTTCAAGGGGAATTCAATCTACAATATTCATCACTAGCCACACTTATTTCTACTGGATGTGGCTATATATGAATGTTGAGGATACAGAAAACAAAGAATATAGCTTTTAACAAGTGTTTTCCTTTGATACCATGGCCCCAATATAAAGATTTCTGCTTTAAGTACTTATGTATTGGGGCTTACATTGGTTGCTCTCCAAAGTTTCAGATTTGACATACAATATTTGATTAAATGGAAGAGTTTGATCATGTGTTCTGTACTAGACCCAATGATGGAAGAGGCGGCGCATCTGGAGTGGCACTCCATCACTGGCCGCAGTGGAGGGGCACAGCTGGGGCTGCATTCTTCACAGACTGTGGGAGCTCCCTGGGTGTAGCCCCAGCTGCCCAAGTTGTGGCTGTGGACCCAGGCCTCCCACTGCATGGAGCAGGAAGGAGCCCTGTAACCCCAGGTGCAGCTGCAGTCACCCAAACCGTGGCTGTGATCCC
Source organism: Homo sapiens (assembly GCF_000001405.40). Lineage (NCBI taxonomy): Eukaryota > Metazoa > Chordata > Mammalia > Primates > Hominidae > Homo > Homo sapiens. The sequence goes on from NT_187536.1 coordinate 193,353, forward strand.
AGGCATCCCTGCATTCTGGGGGGCCCAGGAAGGAACCCCTGCCCTTGTAGTTTGGGAAGTGCCTCCTCCTGCTACCTGGCTTCTCCCTGCTGTCAAGTTCTGCTCCAATCTTGGAGCAAAGTCAGCTGAGCCTGAGTGCTGTCACAGCTCCTCCAGGTGTGCACACACTGGGGGCAGTGCTGAGACACCAGGCCCCTGTCACCTTGGCCCACTCCAGGCTTTGGATACCAAAGAGCATAGGAGGGAAGCCTATGGGGGGCTTAGGGCAGCTCAGGCACTGGCCTTCAGGAGCTCCTTGGCACCTACAGCCAGGGCACACTGAATGGCAGAAGGAGGCAGACAGGTTCCTGAGTGAAAGGGAATGGTTCCCCGGTGAGGCCCACCTTCAGGCCAGGAAGGGCCTGAAAGCTGGGGGCCTGGCTGCCAGTCCCACACACCAGAGTGAAAATTTGTAGTGCCTTTTTTGGGCCTGCCCGGGGCCAAATATGGACCAATCAGAATGCACTTTCTTCCCTCTGAGGCCCATAAAATCCCTGGGTTCAGCCGGAGCCCAGCATACATAGGGACAACCAGCCTATTATCCTGCCTCAGTCGCCTGAGTAGCTGGGATTACAGGCCCGGGCCACCAGGCTCACCTAATTTTTGTATTTTTAGTAGAGGTGGGGTTTCGCCATATTGGTCAAGCTGGTCTCATACTCCTGACCTCAGGTGATCCACTCCCCTCAGCCTCCCAAAGTGCGGGAGCCACCGCGCCCGGCTGTGAGCTACCAGTATTATATCATAATTTTAAGGGAAAATAACAGTAACCTGGTCAAAATGAGTGGCAATTGTAAGACAGAAGAGTTGAGGAAAAGGTCAATGGCTTTCCACTTAATTATTTATTTTTATCAGAAAGCCAAAAACACTTTAGTCGCAGAGGCTTTTTTCCAATATTGTGAAAGTCGCGGTATATTTCTGTTTAAAAACAGTCTTATTTAGACAAAATGTTAAATATTCTGTTTTGTTTGTTTGTTTTGTTTTGTTTTTTGACAGAGTCTTGCTCTGTCTCCCAGGCTGCATGCAGTGGCACAATCTGGGCTCACTGCAACCTCTACCTCTAGAGTTCAAGGGATTCTCCCATCTCAGCTGGGACTACAGGCGTGTACCACCGTGACTGGCTAATTTTTGTAATTTTTATTTTTTGTACACATGAGGTTTCACCATGCTGCCCAGGCCAGTCTCAAATCCCTGGCCTCAAATGATCTGCCCAACTCAGCTTCCAAAAGTACTAGGATTATAGAGGTGAGTCACCACGCCCAGCCTTTTTTGTTTGTTTTTTGTTGTTGTTGTTGTTGTTTGTTTTTTTAAAGAAAGTATACCTTTAAGAGAGTACCATTCTTTCTAGCTGCTCTATTAATGAGCTAAGAAGCAAGATGCCTGAAACACAGGGTTCACAGAATGAATACCATTGCTTGCCAGTGGCTGAAGCAGTGAAGAGAAATAAAGAATGAGAAAATTGCTGATGAATCCTTTCACTAGAGAAGAACATCCAGGCAGAGGATAAAAGGGATCTTATAATCTTTATTTCTTCTGACCACAAGGGCCACAGAATTATTTTCCTTGTACAAAAGCTACTTAACCAATAGAAAAGAGGTAGTTTGAGCAGAAAATACCCAAAGAGAAAATAATGTGCTAACAAGGCACTTAAATTCTTCCAGATATTTACACAGAAAATTAAAGACTTCTCCTAATAGGGAACAGGGGATGGTGTAAGTACTTGTAAAAGTCTTTTATTGCCAAATTCTAAAACAATTGGAAACTCAAGCTCAGAGAAGGCACAATATAGTTCCTTTAAAGCTACAATTGCAGAGAAATACTTCCAAGTGAATTCTTCTTTAAACCGACTTCAGACCAGAGTCAAATTCAACAATGATTCGTAAGACAAAATTAATATTAGAAAGCTAATCAGGCATTTGCATTTTATCAAATTACAATTTCTAATGTATCAGTTCTTGAAAAATGCATGCAAAACCAGTATTTGGTAATTATCAATTCTACTAATTTTATAATAATATGTTTCTTGGAAAAAAAAGAATGTTTTGTGTTAAATGTTCTTCTTTTATTGTTTCACACTAGCAGAAAATCAAATGTTTGAACCATACAACCAAAATATTAGTTACTTTACTTTATTTGTATTACATATCCAAAAATAATCATAGTGTCTAGAATATAATTAGAAATAAACAAGTTATGAATAAATAATCTTGTAGAAAAATATGAAACGATGGCAAATTTTATGAAGTGAAGATGAGAATGGGAAAAGAAAAACTAACAGAATCATAGAATAGCCAACATTTTAGGTTTTCTAATGATTTCAGGTCAGTAATACCCCAAAAATACCCTCTTATGTTTTTAAGTCTCAGTCTTGAGAGAGCATCTGGATTTTCATACAGGTATGGCCAAGGCAGATTACTTAACTGCTCCATGACTCATTTTTCTCATCTTTAAACATTGGTAGAATGATCATACGTACCTCATAATATTATCTTATGCAAAAGGTAAGTTGGTGCATATAAAACACTTAAAATAAAAATAAAAAAATTAAATTAAATTAAAAAAACACTTAAAAAGTAAATAATCAAATAATTGGAAATTTTAAGGAAAATATAAGATGCTGACTGCCATATTTGATGCTGAATGTTTTTATTCCTGCAAAAATGCACATACAGTAGTGGAATACTTTTTAATGAACTGCATATTTCCTGGAAATGAATATAATTAATGAAACTAGTAATACTAATACTAATATTAATAAAACTATTAAGTAAAACAAAAGTATGGTTAAGCAAAGGAACCCAGAAAGAAACAAACAAAAGCAGGAATTAGCAAAAATCTATATGTGAAGAAAATCTTCATATGAAAGAGCAGAAATTTTTAATGTACAAACATTTTACATATATGTAATGGTAATGATTGCTCACATTTCAGACACACAAAATAAAAGCTATCTCTATGTTATGAATTTTCTGATATGATACATGGTTCTGAAACGCTCAAATTAATTATGACGAGATCAGGTAATATGTTAGAGTTGACCAGATAAGGTTCTTTTTGCCAAGCATGATATTGAATATTCAATCTCACCATCAGAAGCCCCTCACATTTTTAATTTACAGGTACTATGTGGTGTGCAGGACTTGAGTTAGAAGAGTAATGCATGTCTGCTAATTAAAATGTCAACATCTACCTGTGATAAAATGACTTTACTTCCTTCCTTTTTTCCTTCTATCCTTCCTTCTTTCCTTTTCTTCCTTCCCTTCTTTCTTTTGTTCTTTCTTTCATTTTATTTCTTACCTAATTTTTGTTCTTCAATGTTAAAAGAATGTGTTTACCTAAAAAGTGTGATGTTTTAAAGGTATTTCACATTAACATTTCATTCGCTCTCATGTAGACAACATTTCATACGTAATTTAGCTTCATGTTTCCTTGATCCACGTTCCCTTCTCTTGAATCCTAGCAGTGGTTATTCTCCACATCTTAGCTCTTGGAATGTTGTGTTCTCCCTTCATGGGTTACCTACTCTTACTATGTAAGCTTTTATTTTTACAGATTCCTTCAGAGTCTAAATCTCTACCATTTACTCCAGTTAATTTATCATTTGCATCATTTAGCTTTCTACTTGGTGAGTAACTCAACATCACTTATAACTCAATGTGTCAAGAACAAAAAGTATTGCTTTCCTCAAAAAACACATGTCTCCTGTGTTTCTATGTCGGTTGGTTATATCCTCCTTCTTCCAATAACTTCAGTGTGAAAACATAGAGTCGTATTTATTCATTACTTTCGTTTGGGCATCATATCTATTTGACTTCTGAAATATATATCTTATTGTCTTTCTTTTATCTCCATCTTAGTTCTCAAATTCCACCCTGGAATTTTATCTATGCACAATCAGATTTTGAAAAAAAAACCTCTTCGCTGATACTTTAGCCTACTTGCACTTTTTAATTCTTGACTCCGTGTCCACAATCATATTGTCTGCCATGCTCTGGAATTAGTTCAATTTTGTTCCATCCAAATCCTACTAATATCTTCCTCCTAATAACTTGCCTTAAAAATCTGACACTTAATGATGCTTGTATTTAATATTTTGTCTCTAACCTATATTCTTGAGTTGTTTGTTATTGTATGGCTGTAGTATATAGAATATTAAGTTGGAAAGACATTTTGACAAAAAAGTCCAGATCTTCTATTTTAAAGTTATGAACTCTGGACATGCCACATTTAATACTTGAAAGCTTCTTCAAGGAAGAACAAATGTGTCATTTCTCTGTATTCTGCTTTCCCCATAACCTGTACATTTAGTCCAGTGCAGGAAATCCACTAGGTACTAACCATTTCTGAGATACAAACTGATTAAGTGGCTTGATGAATTCTATCCTAACAACAAAATCATAAGTTTCTTGATGGCTGATGGCAGAACTGGTCATGCCCTGTAATTCCTCTATAATCTTGAATAGACCTAATTGAGTATAAAGAATACAGGAGGTAGTAACTTGTTTTATTTCACGTAATTCTTCTTTTATGTACGTAAATAAATGTGTATATATAAAAAAGTATTATATCTGTGATAAGATGAAGATTACTCTATGTTACTGACATAGAAATAAATCATTTACATGGCTGGTTAGTGATGAAGTCACATTTTAATGTAAGTCAGATACCAGAGGCCCCCAACTAGTTTTCATATTTTACTTCTTCTTCCCTATTTAGTAACAGTGCATAAATAATTAAATGTACTTCAGCTAGGTTGATTATGGAGCATGCATTTAAGTTATTTTTGATACCAAACTAATTTCATTGAATAGGTTCTAAGATAAAATCTATTCTTGTGTAAATCCCAATAAATAAAGCACTTATTTAACAAATATTTATTAAGTTCCTTATATGAGTCAGACACTAAGCCATTACTAAGAAATAACATGATAGTGGGTGTATAGGCGAGTGGTGTTTTCCTTCTTCTGATACGAAGCACAGAGGAGGTATTTGGCAAATTGGTGTCGGTTCTTTGAAAACAGGTAAGATTCTGAGACAAAAGTGTCCCACATATGTATAACTACATCAGCATTTTGTTGCTAGTAGGTAAGTTCCCATGCTGCAAAAACTTCAGGCTACTTCTTTATTAAAAAAAAAAAAAAAAGAAGAAGAGGAAAATACATTTATCTGCATCCCTGATGTCCTAAATCCTAGTGAGAGACTCATTCATTGTTTTTATGGCTTCGCTTTTAATATGGAAAACTCCTGGTATAATTTGCACATTAATTTGTATGAGTCCTCACATCTGCTGACTAGTTTATTTCTGAAATTTTCATGAATGCCAATCCAGTGTTTTCTTTGATATATATTGGATAGTTGACTAGACTAGACTGAGTAAGAGATTAGAATATGTTACTTTTGAGTCTGCTTTGTACTTTTGTTCTTTCACAGAAATCTTGTAACAAATGGCAAGGTGCAAAAATAATTTATTATAATAACAGTCACTTATGAGATGTTTACTTTGTGCTAGTCACTGTTTTACCAAATTCACACCTATAACTTTTAAATAGCATCAAACTCAATATTATGTGTACTAATATCATTTCTGTTTTACAGATGAGATTAAGTAGCTGATTTAAGATCACATAGTTTGGAAACGGCAGTGCCAATATTTGAAGAGATTCAATCTAGCTTTGGCATCTGTTTTTATAATCACCATATAATACTTCATCTCAAGAGTTTAGCAAAAGTTTTTGACTATTCATGTTATTCTCTACCGCATGACATTTGAACTTGATGCTAAGTACACACTGAGGACTACAGCTCACTGTTTTTGTTTTCATGGTGGAAAAAAAATGATGTAAATGCTTTGTGATGGACTAGCACACATAAGGGGATAAAAGTTTAACAATAAGTGTCATAATTCACATGTAATATTAGTACATTTCTGAAAAATATGTTTTATAATTTTTTTCTCATGAGAATAGAAAGAGAGAATGAAATAAATCTGAGTGTATGTAAGGCAGATTTATGCTCTTTACATTTCTTCCATGATCCGTTTTGTTTGTCAGTGAAATCCGTTGTTAAATTTCTTATCCGTTTCTGTACATTTCCTTATGTAATGACTTTTTTTTTTTTTTTTTGAGACGGAGTCTCGCTCTGTCGCCCAGGCTGGAGTGCAGTGGCATGATCTCAGCTCACTGCAAGCTCCGCCTCCTGGGTTCACGCCTTTCTCCTGCCTCAGCCTCCCGAGTAGCTGGGACTACAGGCGCCCGCCACCACGCCCGGCTAATTTTTTGTATTTTTAGTAGAGACGGGGTTTCACTGTGTTAGCCAAGATGGTCTCAATCTCCTGACCTCGGCCCACCTGGGCCTCCCAAAATGATCTGCCCGCCTTGGCCTCCCAAAATGCTGGGATTACAGGCGTGAGCCCCTGCGCCCAGCTGTAATCACTCTTTTATGTTTTCTCTCTGTTAACTCTAGAGGATATAGTATTTATTTGATTATTTTAACCACCACACAAAAACAAGAATAAACATTACGCTCAGTGTCAGAATTCAGGTATTGGGTGAGCAAATGTTTAAGCTAAAACATGAAATATAATAGAATTTCCTACGTAGAATAAGATAAATAAGTAGCAAGTATTTAAGATTCAGAAAAAAATGTATAAATATCCCTAGATTGGATATAAACCATTATATTAGGAGGGTGATGTCAGAAGGGGAAGTGAAAATAGATGAGGCTGAAGACATACACATGAATATAGGATCCTAAAAGTGTCTTTAATGGGGTGATACTTAATCCTAAATTCAATGTGAACCTCTTCAAGAGACTTGAGAATTAAGTGATCCAGTACACATACTATGATTACTTTAGATTCATCACATAACATTATTTCAAATGAGATAAATGTGAATTTAGTAAGATTGATAAGGGGGATCTTATAGAAAGCTAGGTGAAATTATGATAATCTGGACAATGCCTTGACTTTTAGAATGAAGAGCAATAAGATAATTTAGAGAATGGCAGGGGATGACAATAAGATTTGGTGACAAATTGAAAGTGTGAATAAGAGAGAGGAAGGTGTCATGTGTGGCACTGTGAGTTGGTAGCTGGGTATGGTGGCATCCTTCATTAGAATAGAGAATGCAGAATGGAAAGTAGGTTTAGGAATTTTTAATTTGAGACACTTGTGAAGATGTTTGGCATATGAGCAGAGATGTGGTGAGCCGAGATGAAAACTGGTTATCATATCTGTGTCAGATACATAGATTTCTGAATACTAAATGTAAGGTGATGCTAGCAAATATGGTACCAAAGAAGAATGTTTGAGTAAATGGCAAGGTAATGATACTGAGTAAATCAGTTTTATGAGAAGAGAAGGCAATGAACAGGTGTTTTCTGAGGTGGCTAAAAAGGAACAGCTATAGAGGAAGAATTAAAACTAGCAGTCTGGGAGAACAAAAACCAAGAAAAATGTTTCAGAGATCAAATGTATTTACCCTAGAGAAAAAAAAAAGTAAAACTCTGGTTGATTTGGTGATGTTAAGAAGTTGTCTTCACCAGTTCAAATCATATTATATAGGAAAAATCCAAATATATTTTGGTGCTATAAAAAATGTATTTTTGTTTTTTGATTTCATTTTGGTTATTGTTTTTGTTTTTTGCTGTATGTTGAAACAAAGCAAACTCCTGCCACTTATTTTCAAAGCTAATGTCTTTACAGCTTGAACTTTGCAACATCTGGCAACATTCTAGAAAATTAAATGAAGAAATAGTTAATAAAAATTTATAAATAATTTTTCCCTTTTCCTTTATGGGTTCAATCTACATGTTTTTTCCATGTATGGGCTCAAATAATGCACTTTCTTAGCTGAACATTACCACCTAAAGGACATTTTTCCTGGAATTCTCAAGATGGGCTATGCTTGCGTACTCAACTCTCCCAGAGCAATCTTTGCTTCAATCTCTTAAAATTATCTTTTATTTTCTTTCTACTAAATTTTCAATTATAACGTATGGAGCTTCAATAAATGTGGAACTAAATTTGTATTTATATGCATTCTAAAACTGAGATCGGCTCTTCTGAACTATAAGAAAAAAATGATTTTTGCCGAACAAGAATTCTGCTATGAACAAACAAGTGATATAAAATGAGAACTTTCTTCATCCTTCACATGCAGAATAATAGGGCAAGGAAGCCAGGCTATAGGCACTATCTAGAGATTCTCTTTTGTTCTTTGGGGTAGTATTAGGCTTCTATGGGGGATTGCTTCTCTTGGTACTTATATAATTATTTCCTTAATGCAACTCTTGAATTTTCTCTTTTTGATTTAAGAGTACAGAATTCTTCTTGTGAATGTTTCCTTAGAGAAAGTTTCTGACAGCTCTAAGACTCATTTATTATCTCTTTCTCTCCTGTGTAAGAAATTTTCTCAGCAGTTGAAAGTTGTGAAATCTCCAAAATAAAGAAGGCTTCCCCCTTTCTAAATTCCTGTCATCACTCTTGTTTCCCTATAAACTGTTTATTCATTTATTCATTTATTTTTTTTCTAAAATTGCTCTATGAATCTTCAGTTTCAACAAGAAGAAAATAGAATTGTCTCATGTCAAAATTTAGGTGATTACTAAGTAAGAGCTTTTATTAATGGAAACTAACTAATATAATAGAGCAATGTATATTGCAAATTCTGCAAATTGTTTATTTGAGTTAAATTTAAAGACCATTTATAGTCTGGACCAGATGTACCATGTTCATTATATTTTTAACTATTTTAGCATAATGGGGGGAAATTACTTGATTAGACCCTCTCTTGAAAGGTTTGTAGTTATAAAATTGTATGCCATAATACTTATTTTATTATATTGGCTTCAAAATAATGAATATACACCAATTCACAGTTATGAAAGATAAAATTTGTTTTTCATTAAAACTTTACTAATATTTACCCATGGAGACTTGAAATCAGGGACCCCAATGATAGGACTTAGAAAAATAGACTTCAAACCCCTTTCTATGTTTTATAAGATGATTATGGGCCCATGTTTTAAAAACTTCTCTGCTTTGAGATAATTATAGTTTCACATGCAGTAAAAATAGTACACAGAGACCCCAAATCTGGTATACTCTTCTCCTAGTGCCCCAGAATGATAACGTCTGGTAACCAGAGTATACTACCACGATCAGGAAATTGACATTAAGTGAGTCCTAATAGACTTATTCAGACTTCTCATTTTACATGCACTTCTGAGTGTGTTTATGGAATTTCTGTGTAATTTTATTACATGTATAGATTTATGAGATCTGTACCACAGTTAAGACAGAGAATTTTTCCATCAAAAGGATTTTGCTATGCTTTTGTAGCCGCAGCCAATTATCCTCCCTCTCCAGTTTCCTAGCCCCAGGGTGAACCAGTTTCAAAACTGATTTGATTCTAAATGTCCCTGCTTGCTTGCTTTGTCTCACCTTTTTTCCTTTATTTCTTTCTTCCGTCTTTCCTTACTTCCTGTCTTTTCCTTTCTTTCTTTAATTCAAAGTGTCCTGCTCATTTTGGTTCTAAACTGGGGAAAGCTATATTGTTTCCCCTGTTTATACAGTTTTGGTCCTTTGTTCTGATCCACAACTGTCTTGATGAATGCCTGGCATTTGCAATTTATATTTCATTTAATTAGATTGAAGTTATAGAGACATAGTTATTTATAAGTGCATATTTTATATTGGGAAGGAATGGGGGAGGTTGTGAAAATACATAATAAAATAATGAATTATACTTTAAAACTTGCATGGAGAAATCTGCATTTTTTCTATCAAACCGTAAAGTGAGAGAAGTGAAAAAGAGAATTGCTGATTTGTAGTTTACAAACAATCCTAGGAATGTCAAGCAACAAATTAGACCACAATAAAATAAGTACTCATATACATTACTGATGGTAGTGCATACTACTTTAACCACTTTGGAGAATACTTTTGTAGTACGCGCAATCAAGCATTAAAATTTGATTTATTTATTTTTAACTTTTATTTTTGGTTCAGGGAAACATGTGCAGGTTTATTATATCAGTAAACTGTGTGTTGCAGGGGCTTAGTGTACAGATTATTTCATCACCTAGGTAATAAGCGTAGTACCTCATAGGCAGTTTTTCGACTCCCACCTTCCTCCGTCCTTCCACCCTCAATTAGCCCCAGTGTCTGCTGTTCCCTTTTTTGTGTCCATCCGTAATCAGTGTTTAGATCCCACTTATAACTAAGAACCTGTGGTATTTGTTTTTCTGTTCCTGTGTTCATTCGCTTAGAATAATGGTCTCCAGCTCCATCCACATTGCTGCAAGGAACACAATATACTTCTTTTATGAAAGCATAGCATTCCATGGTGTATATGCATCACATTTTCTTTATCCAGTCTACCATACATGGGCATTTAGGTTGACTCAATGTCTTTGCTGTTGTGAATGGTGCTGTGATCAACCTACAGGTCCATGTGTCTTTATGGTAGGATGATTTATATTCATCTGGGTATATACTGTATATGGGGGTTGATGGGTCGAATGGTAATTCTGCTTTGAGTTATCTGAGAAATTGCCAAACTGCTTTCCACAGTGGCTGAACTAATTTACGTTCATCAGCAGTGTATGAGCATTCCCTTTTCTGTGCAACTTTACCAGCATCTGTTATTTTATGACTTTTTAATAAAAGCCATTCTGACTCGTATGAGATAGTATCTCATTGTGGTTTTGATTTGATTTCTCTAATGATTAGTGATTTTGAGTATTTTTCATTTGCTTGAAGGCCATGTGTATGTCTTCTTTGGAAAAAAGTGCATGTTCATATCCTTTGCCCACTTTTTAATGGGATAGTTTCTTTTCTGCTTATAAATTTAAGTTCCTCATAGTTTCTGGATATTAAACCTTTGTCATGCATAGTTTGAAAATATTTTCTTCAATTCTGTAGTTGTCTGTTTACTCTGGGGATAGCTTCTTTTACTGAACGGAAGCTCTTTAATTTAATTGGGTTGTATTTGTCAATTTTTGTTTCTGTTGCAATTGTTTTTGGAGTCTTTGTCATGAAATTTTTGCCAGCTTCTATATCAGGAATAGTATTTTCTAGGTTATCATCTAGGGTTTTTATAGTTTGAAGTCATACATCTAAGTCTTTATCTTGAGTTTTTTTTTGTATATATGTAAAGAAGGGGTCCAGTTTCAATCTTCTGCATATGGTTATACAGTTATACCAGCACCATTTATTGAATAGGGAGTCATTTCCTCATTGCTTGTTTTTGTTGACTTTGTCAAAGATCAGATATTTTTAGGTGTGCAGTTTCACTTGCGTCCCTGTGAAGAGGCCACCAAACAGGCTTTGTGTGAGCAACAAGGCTGTTTGTTTCACCTGGGTGCAGGGCTGTGTCCGAAAAGAGAGTCAGTGAAGGGAGATAGGGGTGGGGCTGTTTTATAGGGTTTGGGTAGGTAAAGGAAAAAGGGGGGTTGTTCTCTGGCAGGCAGGAGTGGGGGTCACAAGGTGCTCAGTAGGGGAGCTTTTGAGCCAGGATGAGCCAGGAGAAGGAATCTCACAAGATAATGCCATCAGTTAAGGCAAGAACAGGCCATTTTCATTTCTTTTGTGGTGGAATGTCATCAGTTAAGGCAGGAACCGGCCATCTGGATGTGGATGTGCAGGTCACAGGGGATATGATGGCTTAGCTTGGGCTCGGAGGCCTGACATTCCTGTCTTCTTATATTAATGAGAAAAATAAAACGAAATAGTGGTAAAGTGTTGGGATGGCGAAAATTTGGGGGGATAGTATGGAGAGATAATGGGCGATGTTTCTCAGGGCTGCTTTGAGCGGGATTAGGGGTAGCATGGGAACCTAGAGTGGGAGAGATTAAGCTGAGGGAAGATTTTGTGGTAAGGGGTGACATTGTGGGACTGTTAGAAGAAATATTTGTCATTTAGAATTATTGGTGATGGCCTGGATACGGTTTTGTATGTATTGAAAAACTAAAGGGAATAAGAGAAGGAGAAAAACAGGTATTAAAGGACTAAGAATTGGGAGGACTTAGGACATCTAATTAGAGAGTGCCTAAGGAGGTTCAGCATAGCCTTGCCAGCAAAGATTATTTATTTACTTTAAGAGTTAAGAGTGGCAGTCTGGGGATAGCACCAGGAGATATCAGCTGTGATGGCTTGGAGAAACGGTGTAAACCGGCAGTGTAAACAAGAGCAGGGCATATATGAGTAGTCGAGAACGGTGAATAGGAGTATGACTAGACAGAAGATAGTAGGGATGACAAGTTTTTGGGGCACAGTCCAAGTTGGTCTGATGTCTGGAATGAGACTGGGGCTTAATAAAATGGAGCGTCCATACAGGAGCTCAAATGGGCTGTACCCTGTAGCATTCTGAGGACAGGCCTAAATTCTGAGAAAAGAAAGAGGTAAAAGTACTGTCTAGTCCTTTTTAAGTTGGTGACTGAGCTTGGTGAGGTGTGTTTTTAAAAGACCATTAGTCCATTCTACCTTTCCTGAAGACTGAGGACTGTAAGGGATATAAAGGTTTCACTGAATACCAAGAGCCTGAAAAACTGCTTGGCTGATTTGATGAATAAAGGCCGGTCTACTATTGGACTGCCTAGAGGTGGGAAGGCCAAACCGAGTAATTTTGACTGACAGAAGGGAAGAAGTGACCGTGGTGGCCTTCTTAGACCCTGTGGGAAAGGCCTGTACCTATCCAGTGAAAGTGTCTACCTAGACCAAGAGGTATTTTAGTTTCCTGACTCGGGGCATGTTGAGTAAAGCTAATTTGCCAGTCCTGGGTGGGGGCAAATCCCTGAGCTTGATGTGTAGGGAAGGGAGGGGGCCTGAATAATCCCTGAGAAGTAGCAGAATAGCAGATGGAACACTGAGAAGTGATTTCCTTGAGGATAGATTTCCATGATGGAAAGGAAATGAGAGGTTCTAAGAGGCAGGCTAGTGGCTTGTACTATATCATAGCCTGCCTTTGCTGGCATGTGGCGATTAGGCCTGGTGGAACTGCCATCAATAAACCAGGTGTGATCAGGGTGAGAAACAGGGAAGAAGGAAATGTGGGGAAATGGGGTGAACGTCAGGTGGATCAGAGAGATGCAGTCATGAGGGTCAAGTGTGGTATCAGGAATAATGTGAGAGGCCACATTGAAGTCCGAGCCAGGAACAATGGTAATTGTGGGAGACTCAACAAAGAGTGAGTACAGCTGAAGGAGCCAGGGAGCAGAAAGTATACGTGTCAGGTGTGAGGAAGAAAATAGATTTCGGAAATTATGAGAGCTGTAGAGAGTGAGTTGAGCATATTTTGTGATTTTAAGGGCCTCTAAAAGTATTAGGGCGGCAGCAGCCGCTGCATGGAGACATGATGGCCAGCCTAAAACAGTAAGGTCAAGTTATTTGGACAAAAAGGCTACAGGACGTGATCCCGGTCCTTGTGTAAGAATTCCGACTTCACAGCCCTGCCCTTCGGCTGTGTGTAATGAAAAGGGTTGGGATGAGTCAGGGAGAGCTAGGATGGGGGCAGCCTCTAAAGCTGTCTTCAAGGAATGGAAAGAGGAGTGGGGAAAGGATTTAGGATCTATGGGGTCAGCTAGGTTTCCTTTTGTGAGTTTATATAATGGTTTTGTTAGGATGGCAAAACCAGGTATCCAAACGTGAAAGTATCCAACCATGCCCAGGAAGGAAAGGAGTTGTTGTTTTGTAGAAGGGATTGGGGTTTGGGAGATTAGCTGGACACGATCAGCAGGGAGAGTGCATGTGTTTTTCTGAGAATTATGCTGAGATAGGTAACAGATGAGGAAGAAATTTGGGCTTGACTGAAGTAATGGGGGCTATCTGTGAAGCTTTGCAGCAGTAAAGCCTAGGTAATTTGCTGAGCTTGATGGGTGTCAGGGTCAGTCCAGGTGAAAGCAAAGAGAGGCTGGGATGAAGGGTGCAAAGGAATAGTAAAGAAAGCATGTTTCAGATCCAGAACAGAATAATGGATTGTGGAGGGAGTTATCAAGTATAGGAGAGTATATGGGTTTAGCACCATGGGGTGGATAGGCAAAACAATTTGGTTGATAAGGCATAGATCCTGAACTAACTTGTAAGGCTTGTCTGGTTTTAGGACAGGTAAAATGGGGGAATTGTAAGGAGAGTTTATAGGCTTTAAAAGGCCACGCTGTAGCAGGCGAGTGATAACAGGCTTTAATCCTTTCAAAGCATGCTGTGGGATGCGATATTGGCATTAAGCAGGGCAAGGGTGATTAGGTTTTAATGAGATGGTAAGGGGTGCATGATTGGTCACCAAGGAGGGAGTAGAGATATCTTATACTTGTGGGTTAAGGTGGGGGGATGCAAGAGGAGGAAGCAAAGGAGGCTTTGGATTGGGAAGAAGGGCGGCAATGAGATGTAGCTGTACTCCAGGAATAGTCAGGGAAGCAGATAATTTAGTTAAAGTGTCTCAGCCTAATAAGGAAACTGGGCAGGTGGGGATAACTAAAAAGGAGTGCTTAAAAGAGTATTGTCTAAGTTGACACCAGATTTGGGGAGTTTTAGGAGGTTTAGCAGCCTGGCTGTCAATACCCACAACAGTTATGGAGGCAAGGGAAACAGGCCCTTGAAAAGAAAGTAATGTGGAGTAGGTAGCCTCCGTATTGATTCAGAAGGGGACGGACTTACCCTCCACCGTGAGAGTTACCTAAAGCTCGGCGTCCGTGATGGTCTACAGGGCTTCCGAGGCAATCGGGCAGTGTCAGTCTTCAGCCGCTAAGCCAAGAAGATCTGGGAAGGAGTCAGCAGAGAGCCTTGGGCCAGAGTTCCAGGGGCTCTGGGAGTGGCTGCCAGGTGAGTTGAACAGTCTGATTTCCACTGGGGTCCCCCACAGATGGGACACAGCTTAGGAGGAATCCCGGGCTGCAGGCATTCCTTGGCTTGGTGGCCAGATTTCTGGCACTTGTAGCAAGCTCCTGGGGGAGGAGGTTCTGGAGGAACACCTGGCCACTGCGGTTTAGGTGTTTGGAAGTTCTTGTGTGCTGGAGATGTGGCTGGGGTTTGTCTCACAGTGGAGGCAAGGAATTGCAACTCAGAAATATGTTGCTACTTGGCTGCCTCTACTCTATTATTGTACACCTTGAAGGCGAGGTTAATTAAGTCCTGTTGTGGGGTTTGAGGGCTGGAATTTAATTTTTGGAGTTTTATTTAATATCGGGAGCAGATTGGGTAATAAAATGTATATTGAGAATAAGACGGCCTTTTGACCTTTTAGGGTCTAGGGCTGTAAAGCATCTCAGGGTTGCTGCCAAACGAGTCATGAACTGGGCTGGATTTTTATATTTGATGAAAAAGAGCCTAAATGCTATCTGATTTGGGATAAAGAAAAAGGACCACTAACTTTGACTATGCCTTTAACTCCAGCCAACTTTTTAAGAGTAAATTGCTGGGCAGGTTGGGGAGGGCCAGTCAGGGAATGAAACTGTAAGCCAGACCTGGTGTGAGGAGGGGAGGTGATAAAAGGATTATAGGGTGGAGGAGTGGAGGCTGAGGAAGAATTGGGACCTAGCTCAGCCTGGTGAGGAGCAGCCTGGGGAGGAGGGGAGAGGTCAGATGGGTCTGTAGAAAAGGAAGATTAGAAAGACTCAGTGATGCTTGGGGTTGGGACTGAGGAGACAGGTGGGAGGGAAAGAAGGAAGATTTGGGACGAGTTGCATTGGGAACAGAGACTAGGGAGGGACCGATGTATAAAAGAATGCCTGGATGTCAGGCACCTCAGACCATTTGGCCATTTTTTGACAAGAATTATTTAGATCTTGTAGGATGGAAAAATTGAAAGTGCCATTTTCCGGCTATTTGGAACTACTGTCGAGTTTGTATTGGGGTCAAGCGGCATTGCAAAAGAAAATAAGATGCTTAGATTTTAGGTCAGGTGAGAATTGAAGAGGTTTTAAGTTCTTAAGAACACAGGCTAAGGGAGAAGAAGGAGGAATGGAAGGTGGAAGCTTGTGCATAGTGAAGGAGGCAAGCCCAGAGAAAAGAGAGTAGAGACACAGAGAAGGGGTGGGGGGTTCTTGCCCTCCAGAAAAGCAGAGAAGGGGTCAGGGCGTGGAAATATGGGGTTGGGGCACAGAGATAAGAGGTTGGGGCATGGAAATAAGGGATCGGGGTGCAGAGATATTAGGTCGGGATTCCTGCCCCTCCTCCAGAAAAGCGGGACTTGCCACTAAGGGTGAAAGAGAAGGTGTTGAAGGGTTCTTGCCCCTCCCCCAGAAAAGCAGGACTTGCCGCTAAGGGTGAAGGACCAAGACAGGCGTCCCTGCGTGGTCTGACACCTCTGAAACCTGGGTGAATAATCAGAGAGGTGTCCCTGCAATGATTAAACACCAAGGGAAGGCTGCCTTCCCTAGTCCATGACCAGCGCCAGAGTTTTGGGTCCACGGATAAAATGTGCCTCCTTTGTCTCTACCAGAAAATGAAAGGAATTGAAATTAAGAGAAGGGAGAGATTGAAGTGTGGCACCAAGATTGAAAGGAGATAGAGGTTGAGGGATAGTGAGGGAGGTTGGAGAAGAGAGTAAAAAGAGGCTGCTTACCAGATTTAAAATTGGTGAGATCTTGCTTGGGCTGCTTGGTCTGAGGACCAGAAGTCATAGGTGGCTCTCTCTCACGGAGCAAAGAGCAGGAGGACAGGGGATTGATCTCCTAAGGGAGCTTGCCCGATCTGAGTCATGGCACCAAATTTCACTCACATCCATGTGAAAAGACCACCAAACAAGCTTTGTGTGAGCAACAAGGCTGTTTATTTCACCTGGGTGCAGGTGGGCTGAGTCCAAAAAGAGAGTCAGCGAAGGGAGACGGGGTGGAGCCATTCTATAGGATTTGGGTAGGTAAAGGAAAGGGGGGTAGTTCTCTGGCAGGCAGGAGTGGGGGTCACAAGGTGCTTAGTAGGGGAGCTTTTGAGCCAGGATGAGCCAGGAGAAGGAATTTCACAAGATAATGCCATCAGTTAAGGCAGGAACAGGCCATTTTCATTTCTTTTGTGGTGGAATGTCATCAGTTAAGGCAGGAACTGGCCATCTGGATGTGTACATGCAGGTCACAGGGGATATGATGGCTTAGCTTGGGCTGAGAGGCCTGACATGCAGCATTATTATTTCTGAGTTCTCTACTCTGTTCCCTTGGTCTATGTGTCTGTGTTTGCACTAGTACCATGCTGTTTTGGTCACTGTAACTTTGTAGTGTAGTTTGAAGTCAGATAATGTGTCTTTTTCTTTTTGCTTAGGATTGTCACGGCTATTCATTCTTTTTTTAAAATTTTGGTTCCATATGAATTTTAAAATAGTTTTTGTTGTAGTTCTGTAAAAAATGTCATTGGTAGTTTGATAGGAATACCAAACTGAATATTCAATTTAGTTTGATTGAATCTGTAAATCGCTTTGAGCAGTATGGCCATTTTAACAATACTGATTCTTTCTATACGTGAGCATGGAATGTTTTTCCATTTGTTTGTGTCCTCTCTATTTCTTTAAGTAGCGTTTTGTAATTAGCATTGTAGAGATCTTTCATCTCCACTGTTAGCTGTATTCCTAGGGATTTTATTCTTTTTGTGGCTACTATGAATGGAATTGTGTTCTTGCTTTGGCTCTCAGTTTGAATGTTGTTGCTGTAGGGGAGGGCTACTGATTTTTGTGTATTGATTCTGTATCCTGAAACTTTGCTGAAGTTGCTTATCAGATAAGGGAGCTTTGGGGCAGATACTGTGAGATTTTCTAGGTATAGAATCATGTCATCTGCTGACAGGGATAGTTTGACTTCCTTTCTTCCTAATTAGATGTTTTCTATTTTTTTCTCTTGCCTGATTACTCTGGCCAAGGCTTTCAGTGTTTTGTTGAATAAGAATAGTGAGTGAATTACTTTAAGAATTGAGTTTAAAAATTCTATTTTGTCTAACTGCTAAGATTGAAATAGTGCAGTGTTTAAGCATGAAATCTTAGGGAGATAGAAAAAGCTATCCAAAATATAATTTCATTTCTTCTTCTTAAAATGAGCTAAATTTTTAAAATTCAAACATTCATAAACAAACCTAACACTTCAAAGAGTGTCTGAAATGTTAAATTTGATGGAGATAATATCAGTACATGGGAGGAAAAAAACTGAATACCTGCCTTCAAGGGCAACTCCTTACAATATTGTTTGCAGAAGAACTTGGTATTTTTGTTTTCAGTCAACCTTCTCTCTAACTTCATTGTGGAAATCAGAGAACATTATATATAATCATGTTTATCAACCAATGTACAATAGATTTATTTAATAAAAAGGAGCATATAAAACAAAGTTATTTCTAGTAAAATTCTTTTAGGCTTTTTCTATTTTTTGGCAGACAAACCATATGGCTCATGTTGTAGAATAATTTGGTGAGTTGATCCCCATGCTCAAGCTTATGCTTCTTAAGAATTATGATGATGTTTTTTCTAACTTCTAAATATACATTGAAAGTATTTGAAAATTTTGAAAAATTGTAATATTTAAATAAAGTTTCCCGAATTATTTTTTCTCTCTTTTCTTCTATTACCTTTCTCCTTCTACTTCTTTCTATTCTTCTGATAAACTAGGAGTATTAACTTTTAGATAAGTAACCTTTTTAGTAGTAACAGATTTTTTTAAATAATGCAACTGTAATTTTCTTATAACATTAGTGATGTAGTTGTAGCAAGGTCCTGCTGGTTAAATTCTACATATAGAATTCTATGATTCCTCAAATTTGTAGAGAAGGAGAAAAAGTCACTGTCTATGCAAAATGAGCATCAGGATAAGAGCCATTTGATTCATGACAGGTTGTCACTCAATAATAATAATATGGAGAATTAATGACTATATATCTGTATCGATGTCTAATCCATATTCATACACATATCCCTTTTATCTGTCTACTTACTCTGGAGGTAGACTATCTGTGTTTACATATCAAATTAGTAACTCTGTAACTTTTCAAAACTTCAGTTTCTACACAATAATAATATTCTTCACACTAATAATATGACAATTAATGTCTATATATGTATATCACTAATCTATATTCATAAACGTACCTCTTCTATCTATCTACTTACTCTGGAGGTAGACTGTGTTTATATATCAACTATATTCATATACATACCTCTTTTATCTACTTACTCTGGAGGTAGACTATCTGTGTTTATATATCAAATCAGTAACTGTAGCTTTTCAAAACTTTGGTTTCTTTATTTGCAAAAATGAAAAAGAAAATAAAAGATGAATAAAATGAAGAAGAAGAAGATAAAAACGAGAAAATGGGAAAATTATACGGTGTATCTTTAAGTAGTAGCCATCAAATGGGGGTAATCCTGTTCCCCAGAAAATATTTGACAATGACTGGAGATATTTTGGTTGTCATAATGGTTTGGGGCTTGAGATGGGGAATGCTACTGCTAAATAGTGGGTAGAGGCTAGAGATTCTGCTGATAAACATTCTACCACTTATATAAGACCCCCACAAATAATTATCTGGTTCAAAGCATAAATAATGTCTCATTCAAGCATAAAAAAGCCCAGTTAGCTTCTGAGATTAGAGGAGATTGAGCACATTCAACAATAACAAAACAATGATATGAGCTGATGATAGGTTAATTAGCTTAAATGTGGTGATCGTTTTCTTATGTATACATATATCAAAACACAAAGTTGTACACCTTAAATATATACAATTTTTGTCAATCGTTCATTAATAAGCTGACAAAAAGTCCTAGTGTCAAGGTTAAGAAACCCTAGCTTACAAGGGCACATTTTTGATGATATAAAATTAACACTTCTAAAAAAGCTTCTAGTGGTATACTAGAGCCACCTCATACCAGCTTGTGAGATAAGGTTGTTCACATCGCTGCTCAACTTTCATTGAGTGGAAATACATTGGGAGGTTTACATTGACCACACTAGGTGTATTTCCACAACTAAATTTGACAAACTATAAATCAGGTATTCTGCTCCACATACACTGTGTGTCCCCGGAGAGCTGGTTGTTAAACATGTACTATCCTCCATTGCTTAGCACATTGCTTGGTATATTGAAACTACTGTATAAATACTAGCTACTATTATTTTTATGAAGCCCTCTCAAGTAATCTGGAAAAATCACTCTGCATTTTATTTTTTTCTTTCCTTATTGCTTATTTATTATTAAGCTTCCATTTCTCCTGATGATTTTATGATAGACTACTAACTATCCCTAGTTTTAACCAAGTCCTCCTCTATTTTTCATGCTTCAGTAATATTTATTATTGTAAAATGCAAATTTAAACCTGTTACTACCATATTTAATATTTTACAGTGACTTGCCATTTTTTATGGTATTAATCTGACCTCCTTAGTGTAGAATTGTGGGCCTTTTAACCTCATTCCAGAGGGCCCTGCAATTCACAGACCCTTTATTCAGATATATATACACTGGTGACTTCTCTATTGATCTTGTTATATTATATTGTCCTTTCTCTCAGTCAAACTAATTTGAGCTATTATTCAAAGGTAAGGAAAACTAACTCTGTCACCACTTATTGATTCAATATTTTCTCTTACGTATGCCTGGACCTTAGCTTACAAAATGTTAAGGCCAACCATCTTACTCTTTTTGTTCTGGGGAGTGATGCTATATGGGAGAGAAGTGAGCATAGGATGTTACAAATATTTCCTAAGTAAAAACAGGTCACAATACTTAATATATCAAACTTTGGCTGCCTCATATATCACAATTTGAGTATCTTTACATTTTACATTCTACACTCTGAATAGCTCTACCATACATTATATATAATTTACATTATTTCAATTCTTCAGTACATTCCAGAAGCCCAGTAAATGTTACGTATAATAGTTGTCATAGAAGATGGCTGACTAGAAGCAGCAGGATTCGGAGGCTCCCTTCGACAAAAACCATAATAAGCATGTGAACCTTTCACTAGCAACCAAGGTATCCAGGTTCTGTCGTCAAAACTGACATGAAAGCTGGCATGACCCACAGAGAGAAGGAAGAGCAGTGTGGTGTGACCCACCTGAGAGCCACATGGGGAAGGGAAACCCCTTCCTCTCAGCGAAGGGAGGTGGTGAGTGAGTGTGATACCCAGCTGGGGAAACTGTGCAACCCACACGGATGGAAAGATCCCACTCACAAGCCCATGCCACCAGGGCCTAGAGTCCCAACCCCAGAACATGCAGATTCTTACAGCCTTTTAGCTGGAACCTGCTTAAGCCTACCAAACTCCTAGGGGGAGGGGCAACGAGCAACTGCTGCAGCTGCCTGCTGTCTAAGCCATTTGAGCTCCTTGTGGGCGTGGCAGCAGCCAGCACTGGGAATTTCAACTGCCTAACAGGTTAAGGGGTAAGGGGAAGGGCAGTACCATTTTGTATGCTCCCCGGGTAGGGGGAAGGGCAGTACCCATTTTGTATAGCTCCAGACTGTGCTTTTCCCCCTGCTGGAGTCAGGGAGGCTGGATGGCTTGGTCCCAAGCCTTGTTCCCACAGCCCAACACACCCACTGTGGCAGTCTGCAGCCAGAGTGCCTCTTCAGGTCTAACCTTGACCCATCCTTCCTCAGTGGGTAGGGCTTCCTGCTGCAGGATCTCCAATAGCTCCAGAGGTTCAGGGACAGAATTCAGATCTCCCTGGGTCTCAGCCCCTAGCGGGAGGGGTGGCCGCAGTCTCTGTGGACCAGCAGACGTAGCCTCTCCTCCTGGTAGTTCTGAGGAATCTGGGCAGCCCAGATGAGTGGGTTTCCTCACAGTGAAACACACCTTCTCCACCAAGGGACAAAGTGCTTCATTAAATAGGCCATGCTCCCTGTGCCACCCAACTGGGTAAGACCCTCCAATAGGGATTCTCACACACCCTATACAGGAGTGATCCTACTGACATCAGGTTGGTGACCCTTGAAGTCAGAGGTCCCATAAGAAGGAGGAAGCACTCATTTTTGCTGCTTTCCAGCCTCCTTGAGTGACACCTTCAGGCACAAGAGCAAATCAGAGAATGGGGCCTGAAGTGAACCCCCAGAAAACTGTAGCAGCCCTACAGAAGAGGAATCTGATTATTGAAAGAAAAACAAACAAGCAGAAAGTGACAACAGCGTCATCAACAACAACAACAACAACAACAATAAAGGCCCCCACAAAAGCCCCATCCAAGGGTCAGCAACCTCAAAGACCAAAACTAGACAAACTCACGAAGATGAGAAAGAATCAACAAAAAATGCTGAAAACCCAAAAGGCCAGAGTGCCTCTTCTCCTCCAAATGATTACAGGATTACAGTGTCTGTCCATCAAGGATGCAGAACTGGACAGAGGATCAGATGGACGACTTGACAGAAGTAGGCTTCAGAAGATGGGTAATAGAAAACTATGCTGAGCTAAAGGAGCATGTTCCAACCCAATACAAATAAGCTAAGAGCCTTGATAAAATGTTAGACTAATTGCTAACTAGAATAACCAATGAAGAGTGAAACATAAACGACTGGATGGAGCAGAAAAACACAGCATGAGAACTTCGCAAAGCATACACAAGCATCAATAGCCAAATCGACCAAGTGGAAGAAAGGACATCAGAGTTTGAAGACCACCTTACTGAAATAAGACTTGCAGACAAGAACAGAGAAAAAAGAATAAAAAGGAATGAACAAAGCCTCCAAGAAATATGAGACTTCATAAAAAGTACTAAACCTATGATTAATTGGAATACTAGAAGGAGACAGGGAGAATAGAAACAAGTTGGAAAACATAGGTCAGAATATTATCCAGGAAAACTTCCCCAGCCTAGCAAGACAAGTCAACATGCAAATTCAGGAAATACAGAGAACACCATTAAGATACTCCATGAGAAGATCAACCCCAAGACACATAATCATAAGATTCTCCAAGGTTGAACTGAAGGAAAGACTGTTAAGGGCAGCCAGAGAAAAAGGCCAGGTCACCTATAAAGGGAAGCCCATAAGACTAACAGTGGACCTCTCAGCAGAAACTTTATAAGCCAGGAGAGACTGGGGACAACACTCAATATTTTTAAAGAAAATAATTTTTGACCCAGAATTTCCTTTCCAGGCAAACTCAGCTTCACAAGCAAAGGAGAAATAAAATCCTTTCCAGATAAGTAAATGCTGAGGGATTTTGTGACCACCAGGCCTGCCCTGCAAGAGCTCCTGAAAGAATAACTAAATATGGAAAGGAAAACTGGTACTAGCCACTGCAATAACACACCAAAATATAAAGACCAAATGACACTACACAAAACTGCATCAACTAGGGTGCAAAATGACCAAATAGCATCATGATGACAGAATCAGATTCACACGTAACAATATTAACCTTAAATGTAAATGGGCTAAATGCCCCAATTAAAAGACACAGACTGGCAAATTGAATAGAGTCAAGATCCATTGGTGTGCTGCATTCAGGAGAACCATCTTACATGCAAAGACACACACAGGCTAAAATTAAAAAAATGGAGGAAAAGCAAATGGAAAGCAAAAAAAGAGGAGGGGTTGCAATTGTAGTCCCTGACAAAACAGACTTTAAACCAACAATGATCAAAAAAGACAAAGAAGGGCATAATGTAATTGTAATTTGACGAGAAGAGCTAACTATTCTGAATATATATGAACCCAATACAGGAGAACCCAGATTCATGAAACAAGTTATTACAGACCTATAAAGAGACTTAGACTCCCACACGATAGTTGTGGGAGACTTTAACACCCCACTGTCAGTATTAGACAGATCAGCAAGACAGAAAATTAACAAGGTTATTCAGGACTTGTACTCAACTCTGGATCAAGTGGACCTAGTAGACTTCTACAGAACTCTTTATGCCAAATCAACAGAGTATACATTCTTCTCAGGGCCACATGGCACTTATTCTAAAATTGACCACATAATTGGGAGTAAAACACTCCTCAGCAAATGCAAAGGAACTGAAATAATAACAAACAGCCCCTCAGAATACAGTGCAATCAAATTAGAACTCAGGGTTACGAAACTCACTCAAAACCACACAATTTCATGGAAATTGAACAACCTGATCCTGAATGACTCCTGGGTAAATAATGAAACTAAAGCCGAAATCAAGAAGGTCTTTGAAACCAATGGGAACAAAGAGACAACATACCAGAATCTCTGGGACACAGATAAAGCAGTGTTAAGAGGGAAATTTATAGCACTAAATACCCACATCAGAAAGCTGAAAAAATCTCAAATTGACACACTACCATGACAATAAAAAGGGCTAGAGAGGCAAGAGCAAACTAATCCAAAAGTTAGCAGATAAGAAATAAGTAAGATCAGAGAAGAATTGAAAGAGATAGAGACATGAAAAACCTCCAAAAAATTAACACATTCGGAAGCAGTTTTTTTTTTTTTTTTTGAGATGGAGTCTCGCTCTGTCACCCAGGCTGGAGTGCAGTGGCGCCATCTCAGCTCACTGCAAGCTCCGCCTCCTGGGTTCACACCATTCTCCTGCCTCAGCCTCCTGAGTAGCTGGGACTACAGGCACCCGCCACTGCGCCCAGCTAATTTTTTGTATTTTTAGTAGAGATGAGGTTTCACCGTGGTCTCAATCTCCTGACCTTGTGATCCGCCCGCCTCAGCCTCCCAACGTGCTGGGATTACAGGTTTGAGCCACCGCACCCGGCTGGAAGCTGTTTTTTTAAAAAATTTAACAAAATAGATAGATTACTAGCTAGACTAATAAAGAAGAAGAGAGAAAAATCAAATAGACATAATAAAAAATGAAAAACGAGATATCACCACAGATCCCACAGAAATACAAACTACCATCAGAGACTATTATAAATACCTCTATGCAAATAAACTAGAAAATCTAGAAGAAATGGTTAAATTCCTGGATGCATGCACCCTATCAAGGGTTGCATCAACCAGGAAGAAGTTGAACCCTTGAATAAATCAATAACAAGCTATAAAATTGAGGCAGTAATTAATAGCCTACCAATCAAAAGAAAAAACCCAGGACCAGATGGATTTACAGGTGGATTCTACGAGAAATACAAAGAGGAGCTGGTACCATTCTTTCTGAAACTATTTAAAACAATTGAAAAGGAGGGACTCTTCCCTAACCCATTTTATGAAGCCAGCATCATCCTGATACCAAAACCAGGAAGAGATAGAACAAAAAAAGAAAACTTGAGGCCAATATCCATGATGAACAATGATGCACACATTCTCAGTAACATACTGGCAAACTGAATCCATCACCACATCAAAAAACTTATCCACCGTGATCAAGTCAGCTTCATCCCAGGGATGCAAGGCTGGTTCAACATTAGTAAATCAATAAACATAATCCGTCACATAAACAAAACCAAAGACAAAAACCACATGAGTATCTCAAGAAACGGAGAAAACACGTCTGATAAAATTTAATATCCCTTTATGTTAAAAACTCTCAGTAAACTAGGTATTGATGGAACATATCTCAAAATAATAAGAGCTATTTATGACAAACCCACAGCCAATATCATATTGAATGGACAAAATCTGGAAGCATTCCCTCTGAAAACTGGTACAAGAGAAGGATGACCTCTCTCACCACTCCTATTCAATATAGTTTTGGAATTTCTGGCCAGGGCAATCAGTCAAAAGAAAGAAATAAATTGTATTCAAATAGGAAGAGAGAAAGTCAAGCTGTCTCTGTTGGCAGAGGATATGATTTTATATTTAGAAAACCCCATCATCTCAGCCCCAAAACTTCTTGAACCAATAAGCAATTTCAGAAGTCTCAGGATACAAAATCAATGTGCAAAAATCACATGCATTCCTTTACACTGACAACAGACAAGCAGAGAGCCAAATCATGAATGAACTCCCATTCACAATCACTGCAAGGAGAATAAAATACCTAGGAATACAGCTAACAAGGGTTGTGAAGTACCTCTTCAAGGAGAACTACAAACCACTGCTCAAGGAAATAAGAGAGGACACAAACAAATGATAAAACATTACATCCTCATGGATAGGAAGAATCAATATAATGAAAATGGCCACACTGCCCAAAGTAATTTATAGATTCAATGCTATTTCCATCAAATTCCATTGACATTTTTCACAGAATTAGAA
The DNA here is from genome assembly GCF_000001405.40 of Homo sapiens. Classification (NCBI taxonomy): domain Eukaryota; kingdom Metazoa; phylum Chordata; class Mammalia; order Primates; family Hominidae; genus Homo; species Homo sapiens. Next base: position 219,482 of record NT_187536.1, read on the forward strand.
AATCTGTTTTAAATTTCATGAAATCTAGGAAGACTTTGAATAGCCAAGACAAACCTAAGCAAAAAGAACAAAGCTGGAGGTATTAAGCTACCTTAATTCAAACTGCACTACAAAGTTACAGTAACAAAAATAACATGGTACTGGGACTAAAACAGATATATTGTCCAATAGAGCAGAACAGAAACCTCAGAAATAACACCACACATCTACACCCATCTGATCGTCAACAAACCTGACAAAAACAAGCAATGGGGAAAGGATCTCCTATTCAGTAAATTGTGCTGGGAAAACTGGCTAGCCATATGCAGAAAACTAAAACTGGACCCCTTCCTTACACCGACACAAAAATTAACTCAAGATGGATTAAACACTTAATTGTAAAACCCAAAACCATAAAAAACCTAGGAGAAAACCTAAGCAATACCATTCAGGACATAGGCATGGGTAGACTTCATGACAAAAATGCCAAAAGCAATTCCAATAAAAGCCAAAATTGAAAAATGAGATCTAATTAAAGACCTTCTACGCAGCAGGTGAAACTATCATCAGTGTGAACAGGCAACCTACAGAATGGGAGAAAATTTTTGCAATTTACCCATCTGACAAAGTTCTAATATACAGAATTTACAAGGAACTTAAACATACCACAAGAAAAAACAAACAACCCCATCAAAAAGTGGGCAAAGGATATGAACAGACACTTCTCAAGACATTTTTGTGGCCAACAAAGGTGAAAAGAAGCTCAACATCACTGATCATCAGAGAAATGCAAATCAAAACCACAATGAGATACCATCTCATGCCAGTCAGACTGGCTATTATTAAAAAGTCAGAAAAAATAGATGCCAGCAAGGCTGCGGAGAAATAGGAATGCTTTTACACTTTTGGTGGGAGTATAAATTAGTTCAACCATTGTGGAAGACAGTATGGTGATTCCTCAAGGATCTAAAAGCAGAAATACCATTTGACCCAGCAATTCTATTACTGTGCTGGGTATATACCCAAAGGAATATGAATCATTCTTTTATAAAGACACATGCACACGTATGTTTATTGCAGCACTATTTACAATAGCAAAGACATGGAACCAACCAAAATGCCCATCAATGGTAGACTGCATAAAGAAAATGTGGTACATATACACCATGGAATACTATGTGGCCATAAAAATGAATGAGATCATGTCCTTTGCAGGGACATGGATGAAGCTGAAAGCCACTATCCTTCGCAAACTAACACAGGAACAGAAAACCAAACACTGCATGTTCTCACTCATAAGTGGGAGCATAACATTGAGAACACATGGACACAGAAAGGGAAACAACACACACCAGGGCCTGTTGTGGGGTGGAGAGTTAGGGGAGGGAATTTAGAGAACAGATCAATAGGTTTAGCAAACCACCGTGGCACATATATACCTATGTAACGAACCTGAACGTTCTGCATATGTATCCTGCTTTTTTTTTTTAGAAGAAATAAAGGGAAAAAAATAGTTGTCATAGAAAAATACTGGATAATTTGTTCATATAAATCTTAACATTATTTGGAATAAATTTTATTTACACTACAGCATTATTATGAAATCTTTATACAACTATCAGTTAATATACAAATTATTTTGAGCAACATTGACCACAAAACAAGGTAAACATATCCACCTACACTTTTAAAAATAGTATGCCTTATGAATTCCCAGCCATAAACATGAAAATACAAAAATAATCATAGACTTATGGAAAATGTTTCTTCCACAGCAGGATTTCACTACTTAGAATTGTTAAAAATGGGCAACATTGAGAGGAAAGCCATAAAAAATGGGGAAAAATAACATAAAAATAAAGATGTGATATCTGAAATTAAATGTCATGATTGAGGGTATTAAAATGTATTGAAGAATACCAGGAATATCTCCTAATTCAGCTCAGCACATGTAGATGGGTGTGCACAATTCCTGGTAAATATTCTATGATTCTCCTCTCTACAATATCTTTCAATTTAACCTTTTAATACAAGTATACCAAAATCAGAGACACATGGTAATCTGTCTTGGTTGGTAACCTAATCATAAGAATGTTTTACAATGGTTACCACGTAAAAAACATACTAAAAGCCTGCACTACCATCTCCAAGAAGCTTATGACTCTCAGTCATGAAAAATTTATTGAGCATCATAAAATGTCAGCATAGATAGGTGGAGAAAGATGGCTGAATAGAAGCCTCCACTGATCATTGTCCCCTCAAGAACACCAAATTGAACAACTCTCCACATTAAAAAACACCTTCATGAGGCCGGGCGAGGTGGCTCACGCCTGTAATCCCAGCACTTTGGAAGGCTGAGGCGGGCAGATCACGAGGTCAGGAGATCGAGGCCATCCTGTCTAACACGGTGAAACCCCGTCTCTACTAAAAATAGAAAAAAACCCAAAAAATTAGCTGGGCGTGGTGGCAGGCGCCTGTAGTCCCAGCTACTCGTGAGACTGAAGCAGGAGAACGGCGTGAACCCAGGAGGCGGAGCTTGCAGTGAGCCGAGATTGCGCCACTGCACTCCAGCCTGGGCCACAGAGTGAGACTCCGTCTCAAAAAAAAAAAAAAAAAAAAAAAAAGCACCTTCATAAGAACTGAAAGTCAGGTAAACAATCAAAGTACCTGGTATTAAGTTCATATTACTGAAAAAGGCACTGAAGAGAATAGGAAATAAAACCTTGAATTGTTCATGCCACCCCTCCCCCAGCCCCCAACACTGGCATCCTGAAACGGAAAGATAATATGCGTTCTTGGGGGAGGGAAAGTGCAGTTACTGTGGGACATTGTATTGGAACTCAGTGCTGCTCTGTCCTAGTGGAAAGCCACATGATGCAATACTCAGCTCATGCCTATGGAAGGAGTATTTAGACCAACCCTAGCCACTGGGAATTGCCCATCCCAGTTGTCAGAACCTGAGTTCTGGTAAGCCTCTCCACCATGGACTAAACTGGTCTGGGGTCCCAAGCAAACATGAAAGGCACTCTAGGCCACAAGGACTGCAATTCCTGGGCAAGTTATATTGCTGGGCTAGGCGCAGAGCCAGTGGACTTGGGAAGCACACAATCCAGTGGGAGACCAGCAGGGGCAGAGAAGGGTGTTTTTCCCTTCTCTGCAAAACCAAGGCAATGTAGCTGAGATCATGCCACTGCACTCCAGCCTGGGCGACAGAGTGAGACTCCGTCTCAAAAAAAAAAAAAAAAAAAAAAAAAACCCTAAAACCATAAAAACCCTAGAAGAAAACCTAGGCAATACCGGACATAGGCATGGGCAAAGATTTCATGACTAAAACACCAAAAGCAGTGGCAACAAAAGGCAAAATTGACAAATGGGATCTAATTATACTAAACAGCTTCTGCACAGCAAAAGAAACTATCATCAGAGTGAACAGGCAACCTACAGAATGGGAGAAAATTTTTGCAATCTATCCATCTAACAACGGGCTAATATCCAGAATGTATAAATACCTTAACAAATTTATATTTACAAGAAAAAAGCAACCCCATCAAAAAGTGGGCAAAGGATATGAAAAGACACTTTTCAAAAGAAGACATTTTTGCCACCAACAAACATATGAAAAAAAACTTATCATCACTGGTCATCAGAGAAATGCAAATCAAAACCACAATGACATACCATCTCACGCCAATTAGAATGGCAATTATTAAAAAGTCAGAAAACAACAGATGCTGGAGAGGATGCAGAGGAATAGGAACACATTACACTGTTGGTGGGAGTGTAAATTAGTTCGACCATTGTGGAAGACAGTATGGCAATTCCTCAAAGATCTAGAACCAGAAATACCATTTGACCCAGCAATCCCATTACTGGGTATATATCCAAAGGATTATAAGTCATTCTTCTATAAAAAGACATGCACACATATGTTTACTGTTCACAATAGCAAAACTTGGAACCAACCCAAATGCCCATCAATGATAGACTGGATAACGAAAAGTTGGCAAATATGCTCCATGGAATACTATGCACCCATAAAAAAGGATGAGTTCATGTCCTTTGTAGGGGCATGGATTAAGCTGGAAACCATGATTCTCAGCAAACTAACACAGGAAAAGAAAACCAAACACCATATGTTCTCATTCATAAGTGGGAGATGGTATCTTATTGTAGATTTTATTTGCATTTTTCTGATGATCAGTGATGTAGAGGACATTTTCATATAACCGCTCAGCATTTTCATGTCTTCTTTCAAGAAATGTCTATTCAGCTCTTTTGCCATTTTAAAAAATTGGATTACTAGAATTGTTTCCTATAGAGTTGTTTGATTTCCTTTTATATTCGATTTATTAATCCATTGTCTGGTGGATACTTTGCAAATATTTTCTCCCATTCTGTGAGTTTTAACTTTTTTGTTTTCTTTGCTATGTAGAAGATTTTTAACTTGACATGATCCCTTTTCTCTATTTTTGCTTTGATTATCTGTATTTTGGTGGTATTACTCAAGAATTCTCGGCCCAGTCTGATGTTCTGGAGAGTTTCCTCAACGTTTTATTTTAGTCATTTCACCCTTTCAGGTCTTAATATTTAGGGCCTTAATGCATTTTGATTTAATTTGTGTATGGCAAGACATATGGGTCTAGTTATATTCTTCTGCTTCAGGATATCCAATTTTCCCAGCACCATTTATTGAAGAAACTGGCCTTTCCACCAATGTGTGTTCTTGGCTCGTTTGTCAAAAATTAGTTCAATGTAGATGATTGGATTTGTTTCTAGGTTTTCTATTCTGTTCCATTGCTCTATTTGTCTGATTTTATGCCCATACCTTGCTGTTTGGGGTACTATAGCTCTGTTCTATAACTTGAAATCAGGTCATTTGAGTCCTCCAGTTTTGTTTTTTTGTTCAGAACACATTTGGCCTCTGCATCTTTTGTGGTTCCACATAAATTTTAGGACTCTTTTTTCTATTTCTTTTAAGAATGACATTGAAACTTTGACAGGCATTACACTGAACCTGTAGATTACATTGGATTGTATGGAAATTTTAACAATATTGATTCTTCCAATTCATGAACATGGACTATATTTCTAATTTTTTGTGTTCTTTGCCCTTCCTTCATCAACATTTTATAGTTTTCATGTGGAGTCCTTCATTTATTTAATTAACTTTATTCCTATGTATTTTTATTTTATTTGTACCTACTGTAAATTGGATTATGTTCTTGATTTGTTTTTAGATTTTTCACTGATGGCATATAAAAATGCTACTGATTTTATACATTGATTTTGTGTCCTACAACTTTATTGAATTTGTCTATCACTTCTAATAGCTTTTTTGGTTGAGTCTTTGAGTTTTTTTAAAATATAAAATAATGTAATCTTCAAACAATGATAATTTTACATATTCCTTTCCCATTTGGATGCCCTTTATTTCTTTCTCTTGTCTGATTGCTCTAGCTAGGACTTCCAGTGATATGTTGCATTATAGTGGTGAAGGTGGGCATCCTTACTTGTTCCGGATCTTAGAGAAAAGGCTTGCATTTTTTCCCTATTCAGTATGATATTAGTTGTGTGTCTGTCATATATGGCTTTAATTATGTTGACATATGTTCCTTCTATAACCAGTTTTTTGAGGGTTTTTATATGGAGGAATGTTGACTTGTATCAAATGCTTTTTAGCATCAATTTAAATGATCATATATATTTATTTTTGTCTTTCATTCCATTGATATGATGTATCACAATGATTGATTTGCATATGATGAGTTATCCTTGCACCCCTGGGATTAATCCCACTTGATCATAATGAATGATCTTTTAAATGTTTTGTTGGGTTCACTTTACTAGTATTTTGATAATAATTTTGCATCTGTAGTAGTCATGGATATTGGCCTGTAGTTTTCTTGATGTGTCTTCATCTGGTTTTTGTACTAAGGTAATACCTGCCTTGTAGTATTAGTTTGGAAGTATTCACTTGTCTTCTATTTTTTTGAATAGTTTGAGTAGTATTAGCAGTAGTTTTTTTTTTAATGTTTGGGAAAATACAGCAGTGAGACATCATTATCTGGGTTTTCTTTTGGGGGGGAAGTTTTATGGCCTTAATCTCTTTACTTGTTATTGGCTTACTGAGGTTTTTTCATTTATTCATGGTTCAATCTTGGTAAGTTGTATGTGTCTAGGAATTTATCCATTTCTTCTCAGTTTTCCAATCTATTGGCATATAGTTGCTCATAGCAGCCACTAGTGATCATCTGCATTTCTGTGGTATCATTTGTAATGTCTCCTTTTAAAACTTTGATTGTATTATGTTAGTCTTCCCACTTTTTTTTTTTCTTTTTGTAGATAGTCTGGGTAAAAGTTCGTCACATATCCTTATTGCTCCATTATTGATCATTGGTCCCTTATTTAGTTCATTTGGCCAGTGCATGTATTCCTGGTTGGTCTTGATGCTTGTGGATGTTTGTCAGTGCATGGGCATTAAAGAATTAGGTGTTTATTGTAGTCTTTGCAGTCTGGGCTTTTTTGTACTCATCCTTCCTGAGAAAACTTTCCAGATATTCAAAGTAACTTGGGTATAGCGATCTAAGTTTTGTCCACTGCAGCCATGTCTATATTAGGGGACACCCCAAGCCCAGTAATGTTGTGGCTGTTGCAGACAGACTTGTAGAAGTAGTAGAAGTTCTGCCTTGGTGGTCTTGGATAAGATCCAGAAGAATTATCTGGATTATAAGGCATAGACTCTTGTATTCTTCCCTTACTTTTTCCATTACAAAAGACATCTATTTATATATGCTGAGCTGCCTAGAGTTGGAGGAGGGGTGACAGAAGCCCTCCTGTGGCTACCATCACTGTGACTGTGCTGCGTTAGACTTGAAGTCAGCTAACACTGGATCTTGCCCAAGGCCTGCAGTAACCACTGCCTGGCTATCATCATTTTCTCAGCTTTTCCTTATTTTTCACGAGCTTGGCAGTTTTGAAGAAGCATGCAATAGTTGTCCTGTTACGTCTGGCTGTTTCACTTAGCATAATATTTTCAAGGTTCATTGACGTTGTAGATATATCAAAACTTCATTCCATTTTATAGCAGAATTATAGTCTACTGTATTTACCAAATTAAAGATTAGATGAAATTAAAATTCCTGCCAATTTTAATAAACCTATAAATATAAAAATATTAAAATATTAATATTTTAATATTAATGAAAATATTATCATAGAAATTGAAGTAATTATTACCAAAGTAGGAGATGTTACTTTAATGTATTAACTAATATGTTTTATGTTTGTGGTAATTTCCTTCTGCTCTATAGCCCTTCCCTCATCTAATTTGTCATTGTCTCAAGGATGGAATGTCACCCAAGGAAAGCAGAAAAAATGACTCTGAGTTTATAATTCATATGCTGCCTTAATGTTGTATGTTCTGCAGTTTTGAATTACACTCTGTATAGGAGGCAGAGCATAAATTGTATCCCATAATAAAAAGTACAATGGATTTTTAAGAATGTATGATAGGCAAAGCCCATATTTTTTACCTTTTCCTAAAACCATGGTGGATATTCCCCTTTGCCTGTCCAGGCATTCTTCACCTTCTCTGCTCAAAAGATGGAACAGTACGTTGACTGTATCAGTGATCTCATCTGTCCTTTGATAGAATAACAAAGTGAGGGAGGAGAGTAGGTGAGTGTATTAGTCAGTTCTCATACTGCTAATAAAGATATACCTAAAACTGGGTAATTTATAAAGGAAAGAGGTTTAATTGACTCACAATTCCACGTGTTTGCTTTACTCACATTCTCAACTAATTGGTAGGTTCTTAACAATCTAGTCTTATTCTGGAAAACCTATTTCCTCTTACCAGTAACTGGCTTACAAAAAGGCAGGCCTAAGAAAATTTAATTAATTAAACCTGAGGACAAATTTGACAGAGCCTCCCTGGAAAGGGGGCTTCTTACTATGAAAATATTTCTTACTATGAATACACAGCCTGAGGAAGACAGCCTTTCTTGTTCAGATGTATGAGTGGGGAAACATAGCCCAAATTGTTGTTGCACCTATAAGGGAATCCAGTCTCAAGATGTAGCAACATGGTTGGTGCAGAGCAAAACAAGGGAGACCACTGGGTCATTTTGGCAAAATTCTGTCCTTGGATCAATTCTCTACCTGCCTTTTCTTTAAGACTCTGATTCTGTATACTGGGATGTGTGTGTGTGTGTGTATGTGTGTTGGGATGTGTGTGTGTACAATTTAAAACTTAATTTGCTTCACTTTTTAGTTCATTAATGATAAAATCAGCCTCAAATAAAGAAGTAATGTTTGGAGGCGAGTTCTCTAAACAAACAGAAAAGGATGAGGGATTTGGGGAAGAGAAAAAGAGTGGAAAGGAAAGAGAAATATGACAAGTGATCTTGGACCAAAGGAATGTATGACTGAAGCCGAAGTTAAACTTAGGGGCAGTAGTTTAAAATGTCAGGAGAAAAAAGGTTCTACTCCAATTGTTTGCTCAATTAGGAAATCCTGAGAAATAATATTACATTTATAAATGTAAATATACATAAGTTGTATTAACTATGTAGGTTTTCTGACATAGAGTTCAGAGAGAAAAGTGAGAAACAGAATGATATCTAAAGAGTAATAACAGTTATGAAAATTTTAAGTAAAATATGCATAAACATGTATAAACAAAAACATCTATAAAATGTTATGAGGCAACAAAATTCACATTAGGGTATGTGCGTTTAGTGAGAGAAAAAAATGGGACTGGAAATGAATAATTCGGGAAAGATGAAAATGAGATGGGTTTACATTAATTGATATTGATGATATACTTAATTAAGAAGCATGATTATCTAAATTCTGTGTACCTAGTCTAAAACAAAAATATACGTATGTTTGTGTGTGTGCTACCTGTATGTATAACTATTATACATATAAAGATATATTAAACATAATAGTAAGAAAAAATCACAACCTATATTGTCAGATAAAGTGAGCCACCGAGCCTGGCCTCTTAGTGATACTTTAAACTTACTAGTTTCCTTCACATTTTCCATTGTGTTAAACTTATTATACTTATTTTAACAGTAGTAAATGATGTCTTTTTCTTCAAAACAGAATGCTTTCAAATATTTCTGTAGACATTTATGTAAAGGAGGTGTGCATATTTATTTACAATAATATAACCCTATAAAACATCATTTTGAAATTTTTTTGCATATTTAAAAGCTGCAAGTAAGATATTTCATAAATCAGATGTATTTGGTACAGAGTCATATATGTGTGGATTATATTTCTGTAGGAAATATGGCAATACTTCTGCTTTCAGAGAAAACATTATTCTTTCTTAGTGTAACAAGACATTACCAAACATGCATCAATCTTATGTCTTTTAAAGAGATAAAACTACGATGGGCATTATATTTGGGCCTAGTAATCTAAAGAAAGGAAACATGTGGAATGGTGGTTATAAAGGAGATTATATTTTGGGTGAGCAACAAAAATTTAAATTAAATAATTACAATTGGAGTTGCATACATTATATATTAAGGGCAGGTACAAAATGCTAAGAGAACATATAGCAGGTAGTAGTTAATATTTAACAAATAATCTATATATTTACACATTCTTTAATAGGTTTAATTTCTTGCCAAGTTTAATTCTTTCTTAAAGTTTCTAATAATCAAATAAAATTAGTTTTAGAGTTCAGGTAGTTTCAATCATAACAATAGTCAATAGGCCAGTAAAGTAATTTTTATATATTAAGGTATTATGGAGTTATAAACATAACCTAAGGTATGTATGAAAGCGGGTTTATATTACAGAATATATAATTTTAGTAGTATATGTAGTCATCACCTTTAGTATTTTCAGAAGAAGGAGGAAAGAAGAAAAGATGGGTTTAGAGTTTTATCGTGGTATTACTATTACAACTTACAATAAAAACCGCTGCAAAGCAAAACTGTGTTTCAACCAGATTTGCCATTTTCAGTGTTTCCGAACTTTAGTGTCTTTGCTTAAAGTCTTTACTTTTTCCTCTCTTGTAACCACACCATGTGTTGAAATTTCACTCATCTGTAAACTAAACCTCTTATAAAACTTGTCAGAATACATGTCAAAATTAATTTCTCCTTTATAGCATTTATGAATCTCTTTCTATATATAAATATACATCACTATTATTCATTACAATTTTCAGTGTGTTTATTTGTGCATGGAACTTTTCACATTCACCTTTGTAATACTCATTGGCCAACATGAGTCACAAATGCACACTATATATGGTTGTGGCTAGTTTTGAAAATGCATTTTGTCCATGGTAAGAGATAATGATGAGCGATTATGATCAGGTTTCAGATGAATTATAAAATTATTTAAAAGTAAAAGTCAAATTAAATCAACCTTTGGTAGCAGGACAATTTTTAAAATAGCACGGTTTTAGGGCCATAAAGCTTTGCATTACAATCCTGGCTTACTAACTTGGTAGTTCTGTGAATATAGATTAAGATTGTTGCTCTTGAACTACATCGTCCTCCACATTTGTATAAAAAGGACACTATCACATTTACAGTTGGTCTGACAATTAGAAATTATTTTGTGAACAGTTAGATTAGCATCTCTCACATAGTAGATGCTAAAAAATGGTAGTTGGTCACAGGAGAAGTGGCACTAATCAACATCATTTATCAATCATCTAAGAAATGCCTAGAATAAAGTACCAAGAAGTCTATCATATTGGAATTAAGAAAATGATTAATTCTGTTAGGGCATATTTATGTATATAGCATTCGCATTTTTATACTTACGAATTTCAGTTAGGTGCCTCAATGATCTTACGTTAATATTTATCAAATCCTAAATGTTCCAAGCCCAGAAAATAATACAAATAAATAGATAAGTATAATTCCATCATATGCTTTATTTCTTAAGTAAAGAAAACCTTACTAAAATATGTAATTATAGATTATATAAAATATGTGCTATTATTTGACAAAATAAGCTTGTTTCTTTTTACTTAATTAAGAGCTAAAATACTTAATTGGCTTGGAAGTATGCCAATGTTGCTTTGTAGACTGTGAAATACGATTGTACAAAAGTCACATATAGTAAATATAAGCGTATACATGTATACCTATTTGAATTCTACATTTGTCAAAAATATTGAATATGTTTATGGGCGGTTTGTGTTTATGTTTGTGAGAGAGAGTGGGGAGAAAACAGAGAAGAAGAGAGAGAGGAAATGACAGTATGTATGCACTAAAAGTAAATTTTTAAAAATAATGAAATAAAAATTCTTAAAGTGGTAGAGAATGCATCAAAAGTACAGCACTAGTAAATAGCATGTAATATTAATGCAAAACTAGTGTTGACTTGCCCTGAGATTTAGATTTTGAGGGAATTTTATTAAATGTTCCCATAGTGATATTTAACAAAACGTACAGTATACTTACATTAAAAAAAGAACTACTTTGATTTTCGAAACTCATTTCTAAAACAACCATTTCCTAGCAATGGCTTTTGTGTTGTCAGAGTGGAGTTAGCATTCATGCTCTTACACTCAATTCCTCAGGAGCATACATCTTTTCAAATGCAAGGGGATCCTAAAAATAGTAACTGGCCAGTAAAATCAGACTTCGCTCATGTTGTCAGTTATTTATACACCATTTTCCCAACTGAGCATCCCTACTGCCATAATGACCTGAACGCATGCAGTGCTCAGCTGCTGAGGCAAAGCTTACAAGCTGATTTTATTGCTTTAGACACATTGAACAACAGAAGAGCCCATCAGCACAGGAACATTAGGATGCCAGAAGTGTTTTCCAATCATTTGCAATAGGAAATCACTCTACAGTATGAATATATATTAAACATGTGTCATTGTTTTCTGCAAAGAAGTCTATAGCACACAGTATACTGCACTTTAGCAGCAGTGATAAATTTATTCTTCTAACCAAATTGCAAAGGATTTGATTTGATATTTAAGTTAAATGATCACCATTCCCCACTAATGGTTTTATGTTTAACCTCTTTGTCTACCAAAATTCTGGGCATATTGAGTTATCTTCTATTGACTGAGAATAATAACCTACATATCCATGGATACAGAATAGTACTTTTATTTTTTGGATTGTGTCCCAGACCTCGCATAGAGTATTCCTATGCTTATACCACAGTAATTGAATCTGTGCTGCCTCTGAGTCATTGAGTTAGACAGTTATTTATGTATAACTCACCCGTCCTTAAAAATAAGGTGGCTTTTACACACACACACACACACACACACACACACACACCCCTATAATACATTGATTCCTGAAGCAAAAGTAATTATAGAATAATTGTCTCTAGCTCATAGATTTTAGTCCAAACCTTTCCTCTCCTTAGAAATTTCACATATGGTAATTTATATTCACTGTGTTTGACTTTATATTGTGACATCCTTATCCAATGCAGAATACAAAATATGTCCAATGCCATGCCATAATGGTTGACAGAATTATTGTCATAAAATGTATCATTACAAATACTTATTTTCATATATTATTTTCCTAAATATAAAATCTCAGTTTGATTTTAAAAAACCTCTAAAACACTTACTTATTGTCATAGCCTATTGCAGAGAATGATGCTTTAATGAGATTTTAGAGTTGTTTTAAATCAAAAACCTATTGTGTTTAATTCTATGTCTATGGGTTGAAAAATAATGAAAAGCTTTCAAATATTTGATAAAACAATTGCAAAGCAAGCAAATCAGAAAACAAATTTTTAAGTGTTATTATTTTCTTTATGCTGTGATGATACTAAACACATTTATATAATTCATGAAACTTATTATTTTTCATAGATATTTCTTAAGATAATAATGTCAATGTTGTCACTCTGAGTCTATCACCACCTTTCAATCAATTTGCCAATACAGATATGAATCAAATCTTGCTTTTATATTAATTATTTAACAATGCATTGCAAGAAATTGTTGATATAAAGGCTAGACTAAACTGTATGTTGTGTGTAAGTATTCATTTTCTCAATATGGAGTGCAGTTTAAGCACATTAAACATAAATATGAGAGTTGTGATAAATATAAATTGTGAAATCTCCTACTTCATGAAATGATCTGCTATGGTATCCAGTAGCATTCACAATTGTTTGGTCTTGAAATGCCTTCAATCATTTTAGGATAGGCTCTGTATTAGTTTCTGAGTCTGCTTCTTAATCTTTACCTAATATGCAAACCAAAATTTTTATAATTTGAATCACTACATATTATTCCTCATGTGCCCTTCAGCAGGCAAGCTAAACAAAATGTCCTGCTTCTTTAAATTACTAAAGCAGTTTTTATTTTTTTGTTTATTTTTTGAAGTGTATTACTTTCTGAGGTATTTTTAATATTGATATTTATGCTTTTTCTCTCATTCAAGAGAAAGAGCTCCTAAAAGGAAAGAATTGTTTCTCCCTGAATTTATAGTGTGTGTCAGTGGCTGGCAAACAAATTGTAACAGTCTGTTGAGTCAGTCAAAAAGTGTTAATTTTCAGACAATATTTAAACCAATGGAAAAATGTCACTTGATAAAAATATTTATATTTACTCTTACCTCAAATATACATCAAATCCATAATGTAAAGGCTAATAATCATAAATTGAGTTTTAAAATAACATGGAAAAAATTTTTAAAGAGGACATATTTCTACTTTTTAGTATGTTCTCACTTAACATTGTTGATCAGTTTTTGGAAACTGTGACTTTAAGCAAAAGAACATACAGCAGGTTCTGAAACAATATTTTTTCCCGTGTATTAGTTCATTCTCACACTGCTGTGAAGAAATGCCAGAGACTGGGTAATTTATAAATAAAAGAGCATTAACTGACTCACAGCTCCGCATGGCTGGGGAGGCCTCAGGAAACTTACAAATATGGCAAAAGGGGAAGAAAAACATCCTTCTTTACATGGCAGGAGAGAGAAGTGCAGTGTGAAGAGGGAGAAAGCCCCTTATAAAACCATTAGATCTTGTGAGAACTCAATCATAATCTAATCTCCTCCCACAAGGCTTCTCCCATGACACATAGGGATTAGGAGTACTACAGTTTAAGATGAGATTTGGGTAGGGGCACAGCAAACCATGTCATCATGTAATGTTATTTTTTATAACATTGATTAAAAATGGTTTTATTATACATTGTTTTGCTTAAAGTTTCAGTTTCCAAGAACCTATCTAGGTTGTGAAGATTTATTTTATTAACTACTGGGTATCCAATAAATATGACTGTTGCTTGTATATAGCATATGATTTTTGTTGTATTTTGTAACTGATTCTCCAAAGTAATGCATTCCAAAGCTATGTACAGAAAGAGGAAAAAAATGCCAGTTTGAACAGTTGCTCTAGTTTTTTGTGTTTGTGTGTTTAATTTATTTCATCAATTAGATCTAGTAATCTAAAAACCCAATAAATGTATAACAATATTTCAAATTTTAATTTTCCTAAATCTGTACATGGCATTTCTGGAGAGATAGCAAGCATTCTCAGAGCTCATTCCTGTTACCCCATCATAGAAACTTATGTAAAATTAGTGAAAACTTCTTTTAAGAATCAATAAGCATGGTGCATAATGTGTTTTAGAATTATTCTGAATTTTTGACCTATATGACTTATAAGTAATATATTACTTATACTGCTTACTGTATAAGTAAGCAGTAGGAAATGTGTACCTTGCAGAAAGATAGAAGAGAGAGTATGTGTTACCATAATATAAGATTAGGAAAACAATTTGTTTCAGTCTGCATGAAGTAAAATGTTTACTTTGTAATTTCCATCTATTATCTCTGATCATGAAGCCTATCTTTAAATTATCTTTCCTGTATATTCTAATATTTTGCTATTCAACATTTCCTTTACAAGAGAATTGAACTTTACTTAATTCATTAATATCATACCAAGGATATTTCGTTTTAAGATGTTTCCACCACTAAGGATGCCTAATGAATGGGAAAACTATATATTAAAGATTCTGTGTTTATATATAATCTACAAATACAGGCTATGATGTTGGGATTCTGGATATTGAATAAACATTTAAGTATTACAGTATGCTTATTTCTTAGAACTTTAATAGAATTACACTGACAAAAATAATTTAAAATAATATAGAATTAAATAATAGTTGGGGATATTATTTTAGGTAATATAATTGTACCACATGGAAAGATGGAGTTGATATCATTAGGGCATGAATGAGGCATGGTAGGCAAGGTGAAGTATGGGTGGAGAGTAAAGAAATCTGTCATACTGAAGGGTTAAAGATTAAAATTGATTATAAATTCCAATGTGATATTCATTTTAACATTCAGTTCAGAAGATGATGTGACCACATGTGGGTGACAGTTAAATACATTCTCTGCCTATAATTTCACATTATGTTGACCAAAACTTTTGCATATTTCTACTTTAGAGTTCTGGGTTGATCAAAAAGAAAAGATCTTGAATGGTTTATTAATGCAGAAAATATCAGCTATTAGTTGGTGTATTAGTCTGCTCTTGCACTACTAATAAAAACACACTGGAGACTGGGTAATTTATAAAGGAAAGAAGCTTAATTGACTCACAGTTCTGCAGGGCTGGGGAGGCCTCAGGAAACTTACAATCATGGTGGAAGGGGAAACAAACATGTTCTTTTTGTGTCAGCAGGAAGGAGAATTAGAGTGAAGAGGGGGAAAGTCCCTTATAAAACCATCAGATCTTGTGAGAACTTACTATCATGAGAAAAGTATGGAGGTAACCACCCCCATGATTGAATTATCTCCTACTGTGTCCTTCTCATGACACATGGGGATTATGGGAACTACAATTCATGATGAGATATGACTGGTGACTCAGTCAAACCATATCATTTAACCCCTGGCCCCTCCAAAATCTCATGTCCGCACAATTCAAAACATACTCGTGCCCTTCCAACAGTCGCCCAAAGTCTTAACTCACTTCATCATTAATTCAAAAGTCCAAGTCTAAAGTCTCATCTGACACAAGGCAGGTCCCTAATGCCTATGGGACTGTAAAATCAAAAGGAAGTTAATTACTTCCTGTATGCTATGGAGGTACAGGAATTTGGTAAATACACCCATTCTAAATGGGATAAGTTGGCCAAAACAAAGGGGCTACAGGCCTCATGCAAGTCTGAAATTCAATACGACAGATGTTAAATGTTACGGTTCCGAAATAATATCCTTTGACTCCATGTTTTCATATCCAGGTCACATTGATGCAAAAGGTGGCCTCCCACAGCCTTGGACAGGTCCATCCCTGTGGCTTTGCAGGGTAAAGTCCCCCTCCTGGCTGCCTTCACAGACTGACATTGAGTGTCTGTGACTTTTCCAGGTGCAAGGTGCAAGCTGTTGGTGGATCTACCATTTTGGGGTCTGGAGGATGCTGTCCCTCTTCTCAAAGCTCCACTAGGTAGTGCCCCAGTGGGGACTCTGTATGGGGGCTCCAATCCTACATTTTCTTTCTGCACTGCTCTAGCAAAGCTCTCCATGAGGGCTGCATTGCTGCAGCAAACTTCTGCCAGGACATCCATGCATTTCCATACATCCTCAGAAATCTAGGCAGAGGTTCCCAAACCTCAGTTCTTGTCTTCTGTGCACCCACAGTCCCAACATCACCTGTAAGCCAACAAGACTTAGGACTTGTACCCTCTGAAGCAATGGCCTGAGCTGTACATTAGCCACTTTTAGCCACAGCTGGAGCTGAAGCAGCTATGATGCAGGGGTCCATGTCCCAAGGCTACATAGAGTAGGGAGGCCCTGGCCCTGGCCCAGGAAACAATTTTTCCCTCCTAAGCCTCCAAGCCTGTGACAGGAGTGTCTTCCAGGAAGGTCTCTGATATGCCCTGAAGACATTTTCTCCACTGTCTTGGTGATTAACATTTGGTTTCTCATTACTTATGCAAATTTCTGCAGCTGGCTTGGATTTCTCCCCAGAAAATGGGATTTTCTTTTATTATCGCATCAATCAGGCTGCAAATTTTCCAAACTTTTATGCTCTGCTTCCTCTTGACACTTTGCTGCTTAGAAATTTATTCCCCCAGATACCTTAAATTATCTCTCTTAAGTTCAAAGTTCCACATATCTCTAGGTAAGTGGCAAAATGCTACCAGTCTCTTTCCACAGCAAGAGTGATCTTTACTCCAGTTCCCAACAAGTTTCTCATCCCCATCTGAGACCACCTCAGTCTGGACCTTAGTGTCCATATCACTATCAGCATTTTGGTCAAAGCCATTCAACATGTCTCTAGGAAGTTTCAAACTTTCCCACAATTTCCCTTCCTGTTCTGAGCCCTCCAAACTGTTTCAACCTCTGCCTATTACCCAGTTCTAAAGTTGCTTCCACATTGTTGGGTACCTTTATAGCATCACCCCACCCCCAGTACCAATTTACTGTATTAGTCTGTTCTCAAGCTGCTTAATAAAGATATATCTGAGACTGAGTAATTTATAAAGGAAAGACGTATAATTTACTCACAGCTCCACAGGGATAGGGAGGCCTCAGGAAACCTCCAATCATGATGGAAGGGAAGCAAACACCTCCGTCTTTCATGGTGGCAAGAAGGATAAGAATGAAAGTGAAAGGGTCAGGGGAGAAACCCCTTTTTAAAACCATCAGATCTCATAAGAACTAACTATCATGAGAACAGCATGGAGGTAACTTCCTCCATAATTCAGTTACCTCCCATTAGGTCCCTCCCACTACACATGGGAATTATGGGAACTGCAATTCATGCTGAGATTTGACTGGAGACACAGCCAAACCATATCAGTTCAGGAAGTAGCTAAGTAGCTATGATCTAAAATGGTTTATTTTGATTATTTTTCCTAAATAAGTGAATTTCTGTATGCAAAGCCCTTAATGGCAAAACTCATTAAACAACTATGTAATTTGTAGAAAGTATAAAAATTGAAATATTCTCTATGGAAACATTACTGTATGTTATTTTGCCATCAGTAATTTGTGAGTGACAGGCAAAAGATATAGAATGGAATTATGCAAAATATTCAAATAATCCAAAATAAGTTAGAGAAGATAGAAAAAGAGTACAAAAGTGGTTGATACAAATAAAAAGCAAATATAAAAAATAGTAGATCTAAATTGAAAAAAAAATTAAGACATAAATAATAAAGTTAAATATATAAGTTGTCTAAACAGCCCAATAAATTGCAGATTGTCAGATTGGACCAGAAAATAAAACACAACTCTATGCTGCCTACTCACAAACAACTTGAATTATAAATACACAAACAGATTAAAAGTTAAAGAATATAAAATAATGTATCATGTTCACACTAACTGAAAAAGGAAAAGTTTAGTGACTTTATTAGTATTAAACAAAGACTTCAGATAAAATAATTATAACAGCAAAAAGGTTACATCATATTGATAAAGTATTCAATTTATCAAAAACCCCCAATAATTCGAATCATTCACACATCTAATCATGGAGTTTTAGAACACCTTATCTTTTATTGTTTAGTTCATGTATCATATTAACATGAAATTTTTGATAATTACGCAATGGCTATAGAAGATGTTAACATTAGGTGGAGCAAGGTGAAGGGTGTATAGGAACTCTACATTTGTAAGTTTATTGATGTCCTTAAATTATTTTGAAATAATAAGTTTAAAAATGCCTTCCTGATTTCTACAATACACTATACCTGGTAGTCTATTTTGAAAAGAAATAAACAAATCCACCTGGTATAGTTTCAATAATTTGTAATGTTTTTTAGTTACTGGTAGAACAAAAAGACAAAAATCAGTAAGAATGCAGAAAGCTTGAACAGTGCTATCAAACATATTCCTAATTGACATTATAGAACACTGTATCTAACAACACTAGCCTACATAGTATTTTCAAAGAACATGAATATCTATCAAGAGAGACTGTATTCTAGATCACAGAAGTCTTAATACATATAAAATATTCAACTCACAAAGTTTATGTTCTCTGACAAGCATAGAATTCAATTAGAACTCAACAATAGAAACATATGTGGAAAGTGCCCAAATATTTGGAAACAAAAATAAAACACTTGTAATTAACATTCTAAATAATACTTGGACCAAAGGAAAATAGAATGAAAAATTAGAGACAAGAAGTGTCTCAAATCAATATTTTGTTTTCCATTTAAGAAAATAAAAAAAAAGAAGAAATGGAGGTCAATGTTTAGAAAGAGAGAAAAATTTTGAAAAAATCACAGCAGAAACTAGTAAAGCATAAGACAGAAAAAGAGTAGAAAAAATGAAGGAAGCTAAAAGGTGAATTTGAAGATCAGAAATTGATAAAGCCATAGCCTGACTGATTAGGTACAAACAGAAAAATGTCATGTTACCAATATCAGAAGTGAGAGAGCAATATCACTACAGTCTGCAGATATTAAAGGATACTATGGAAAAGTTATGAACAACTATAGTTTAATACATTCTAAAAATTTGAAATGTCTCAAATTAATATTTTTAATTTTTCATTTGAGAAAATTAAAAAAGAAGGAATGAAGGTTAATGTTTAGAAAAAGAGAAATAAACTTTAAAAATATCAGAGTAGAAACTAGTAAATATAAGACAGAAAAAAATGGAAAAAATGAAGGAAGCCAAATGGCAGATCTGATGATCAAAAATGGATAAAGCCCCAGCCTGACAGATTAGGTATAAAGAGAAAAATCTCATATTACCAATATCAGAAGTTAGAGAGTCAATATCACCATAGAGTCTACAGATATTAAAGGATACTATGTTAAAGTTATGAACAACTATAGTTTAATACATTATAAAAACTTGATGATTTTGATGAACCATTTTTTTGAAAGACACAAATGATCAAAGTTGTTTCCTTTGTAACTGTGTAACTCCCTACCAAATAGTTTGAATATGTACTTAAAAATCTTTTCATGGAGAAAACTTCAGGCTCAGATGGCATCAATGGTAAGTCCTACCAAACGCTTAATTATAAATAAAATGAAGACACACGTGCTTTTACAAAAATGTCAAGAGGTAGGAATATCTCCCAACACATTTTATGAGGCTATAATTACTCTGACAACAAAACCAGTTCATGATACCATAATAAAAGATCATTACAACTCAAAATCAGTCCTGAAAGCCGAGGCAGCAGTTATTCCTAAGGAGGTAGCAATGAATTACTACAATATACTTTTTAAAAATTAGGAATTCCAATTTCTAAAATTATCTTAGTGTTCATCATTACCATTCTCATAATAAAATAAAATTGAACAAACCGAAGAGCAGCAACTCATTTTATACCCACCAGATAACTGAAGTTATAGGGAAAATCACTGCTCTGCAAAGTGAAATTATATATGGATACTGACAATTACAGATTACTAGAAGCAGAATCACAGGAGTAGAGCCTCAGGGGCAGAAGACAACTGGAGATAATACCGGTAGAAATATTCAAGTTGCAACTGAACCATTTCTAGCAATCTATTGTGGACTAACTTGAGAGTTAAAAACACTGGAGGCCTAACTTTTAGGGACAGTGGGGCAGGAGAGGGGAGAGCACATTTCTCTGAGTTTTACCTCCAGCAGTTTCATCAGGTTCTCAGGGTGAAGAACAACAACATCAAAACAATCCTCTCTCGCTTCTGGCAGCAGAAGAGAAAAGACAACCATTTCAATATATGTCTACGACATTCTCTTCTCCTTTAAAAGGAACTGCTCTTAAAATAAAGCATTTTCACCACAGTTTAACCTACTAGGGTTTTACCGGTGCCTAACTAGCCTGGGGTGAGGAAAATATCCGACTTCATTCCTGCCTTTTATGTGGGGAAAGAAAACAGCCAATTCTAGCTCCATCTAGCTTTTGATGTAAATGAAGGTATACAGATAACCTAAGCCCCCTCTATCCTCCTTGTCTCACCTAAGGAAGAAAAAAACAAAGCTGAAAAGCACTTGTGAAAGTTACAACACCATGATGCAGGCTCACTAAAAGACTGAGACTCAACGGAAACATAGAATGTTTCCTTTCCCTGGCCAGGTACGGTGTCTCATGCCTGTAATCCCAGCACTTTGGGAGGCCGAGGCGGGCGGATAATGAGGTCAGGAGATCGAGACCATCGTGGTGAAACCCTAAAAATACAAAAAATTAGCCGGACGTGGTGGCGGGCGCCTGTAGTCCCAGCTACTTGGGAGGCTGAAGCAGGAGAATGGCGTGAACCTGGGAGGTGGAGCTTGCAGTGAGCCGAGATCATGCCACTGCACCCCAGCCTGGGTGACAGAGCGAGACTCTGTCTCAAAAAAAAAAAAAAAAAAAAGAATACTTCCTTTCCCTCCATACCTTGCTACCACATTAAATCAAGCACCTGTATTATAACAGTGGATTATAGCTAAAAGAACTGT
Organism: Homo sapiens; assembly: GCF_000001405.40. Taxonomy (NCBI): domain Eukaryota; kingdom Metazoa; phylum Chordata; class Mammalia; order Primates; family Hominidae; genus Homo; species Homo sapiens. The sequence goes on from NT_187536.1 coordinate 240,856, forward strand.
AAAACTAAGATCCTATTTAAGAAAGAGTTTCTAGGGAAACTCAAAGACAATAAGGAAGACCAAAGAGGGCATTGGAGGAAGTTGAAGCATCTGAGACATACAGGTCGGAGACATACAGGTATAGCAAACATACAGACTAACTCATAAACCGATAAACATAAAACCTCATATTAAAAGATTACTTACCTCAGTTTCTTTTATCCAATCCCTGATGTCTGATTTTCAGCAAAAAATTACTGAATTTTTGTACAAAATTTTTACTGAATTTTTGGACAAAACTATCTTTGTCCTTTTGGGCTGCTGAAACAAAATATGATAGATTGGGTTGCTTATGAAGAACAGAAATGTATTTCTCACAGTTCTGGAGGCTGGGAATCCCAAGATCAAGGTGTTGGCAGACTTGGCACCTGCTGAGGAACTGCTTTCTGGCTTATAAAACAGTGCCTTCTAGCTGTGTCATCTATGGTAGAAGGCATGAATGTGCTCTGTTGGGCCAATTTTATGAAGACATTAAGCCCATTCATAATTTAATCACTTCCTAAAGGACCTCTCTTTCTAATACCATTGGGGACTAGGTTTCAACATATGAATTCTGAGGTGACACAAACATTCAGACCATGGCACATGCTAAAAGGCAAAAAGTTTGAAGAGACAAACAAGATACAAATATGTCAGAAGTTTTAGTATAATGAGACAGGGAATTTAAAATAACTATGATTAATATACTAAGGGCTCCAGTGGAAAGAAGTAAACAACACAAAGGTACAGATGGGTAATGTGAGCAGGAGAAAGAAACTACAGTAGACTCAAAAGGAAATGCTAGAAGTTAAAAATATAACAGACAGAAAGTGTTTGACGGGCTTTTCAATAGACAGGATACTTTTGAGAAAAGCAGTGATTTAGAAGTTATGTCAATAGAAACGTCTCTAACTGAAAAGTAAAGACAGTAAAAAGAAAACCGCCGGCCGGGCGCGGTGGCTCACGCCTGTAATCCCAGCACTTTGGGAGGCCGAGGCGGGCGGATCACGAGGTCAGGAGATCGAGACCATCCTGGCTAACACGGTGAAACCCCGTCTCTACTAAAAATACAAAAAATTAGCCGGGCGTAGTGGCGGGCGCCTGTAGTCCCAGCTACTCGGGAGGCTGAGGCAGGAGAATGGCGTGAACCCGAGAGGCGGAGCTTGCAGTGAGCCGAGATTGCGCCACTGCACTCCAGCCTGGGCGACAGAGCGAGACTCCGTCTCAAAAAAAAAAAAAAAAAAAGAAAACCGCCAAAAAAAAAAAAAAGGAACAAAATATGCAAGAACTGTGGGATCACAGTTTTTATAATCCCACAAGGATTATGGAGACATAATGGGAATACTAAAAGCAGAAAGAAAGGAACAGAAGAAACACTTGACATAATAATGACTTGGGATTTTTCAAAACTAAAGACAGACACTGAGCCACAGATTCAGGAAGCTCACAGAACACCCAGCAGGATAAATAGTAAGTAATCTATACCTACCCTTCAGTATCTTATCTGTAGAGAAACAAGGATAAGAATTAAACTGGATTTCTCTTAAAAACCCATATGACTAAAAAAGAGTCAAGTGAAATATTTAAAGTGTTGAAATAAAAAGAAACTAAGATTCTGTATTTAAGGAAAAATTATATTTCAAAAACTATGCCTGCTTCTAAAACTACCTCTGACTAAATTTATTTAGACCAGTCTGCGAAGCATTTATGCCCCAGAGCATTATTTAAAATAATATAGCAATCAGCCTGTAAATAGTTGAGCCTATGTGGCAGGTGTAATACCAAAGAGGTCCATGGCTTAAAACAGAAAAAAGAAAAAGAGACAATCAGAGGTAAACTTCCTGGCCAAAAAAACATTGTTATCTCAGCGTGACTGTGCCCAATCCCTAGGCTGAGCCCTCTGCGTAGCTACGCCAAAGGCTTCACACCACAGGCTTCATACTCTAGGTGTAATAGACATCAGTAATATATTTCATTCGTGTTTCTAAGAAAATAAACAAGCAAACAACAAAAAGTGGTAGTTAAGCTTGAGGATGCAAAGGCATAAGAGTGATACAATGGACTTTGGGGGCTTGGGAGAAAGGATGGGAATAGGGTGAGAAATAAAAGACTACAAATTCGGTACAGTATATACTGCTTGGGTGATGGGAGCACCAAAATCTCACAAATCACCACTAAAGAACTTACTTATGTAACCAAACACTACCTGTTCCCCAAAAGCCTATGGAAATTAAAAATAAAGAAAGAAAGAAAGAAAGAAAGAAATTGCGTCATACCATACAGCCCTAAGGAAAAAAACCTAAGGTTGGGACAGGGACTAGTATCCAGAGTTGGTACAACACTTTTCTTAAAATACCCAGTTTTTTTTGTTTGTTTGTTTTTTGAGAGGGAGTCTCATTCTGTCACCAGGCTGGAGTGCAGTGACGCGATCTCGGCTCACTGCACCCTTTGCCTCCTGGGTTCAAGTAATTCTCCTGCCTCAGCCTCCTGAGTGGCTGGGACTACAGGTGCCTGCCACCACGCCCTGCTAATTTTTTTGTATTTTTAGTAGAGATGGGATTTCACCGTGTTGGCCAGGATGGTCTTGATCTCTTGACCTCGTGATCTGCCCGCCTCAGCCTCCCAAAGTGCTGGAATTACAGGCGTGAGCCACCGCACCCAACCAAAATACCCAGTTTTTTTTTGTTTTTTTTGAGACAGAGTCTTGCTCTATCGCCCAGGCTGGAAAAAATACCCAAGTTTTAACAACAACAACAACAACAACAACAACAACAACATATTATGAAATATGTAAAGAAATAGGAAAGTATAACCCATACACAGAAAAAAAAATAGTATTCAACAGAAAAAATAACCAAATAAAAATTATGTGGTTAAAGTATACTACCTGGTAGAAAAGAAAGCAACATAAAAATAGATTTCAACAATACTATATACAAACTAGGCCTGTCACACATCTATAGAACTTTCTACTCAACAACAGGAGAATGCATATTTTTCCTAAGTGCACATGAACCATTCTCCAGGATGGACTATATGGAAGCCCATAAAGGAAGTCTCAATAAATCTAAATTAATTGAAATAATCAAATGTAAGCCATTTGTTCACAATTGAGTGAAATAAGAAATTGATAACAGGATATAACTTTAAAAATTCACAAATATAAGAAAATTAAAAAAGACTTTTAGATAACCAATTGGTCAAAGAAAAAAGATCACAGAAAAGTAAACAAACAAGCCAAAAATCTTTTGGATGAATTAAAATAAAAACATCAATATAGCTAAAGTAAAATATAGGTGGTAATGTATACCTAACATTGTCTATATTTAAAAAAAATAAAATATTTCAAATCACTACTTATTTTCACCTTAAAGACCCTGGAAAAAAAGACAAAAAGTAAGCAGAAAGTAATAATAAGGACTGAGCAGAAAGTAATAATAAGGACTGGAACAGAAATTAATAAAACAGAGTTTAGTAAAACAATAAAGAAAATCAGGAAACCCCAAGTCTGGTTATTTGAACTATCAGCAAAATTGACAAACCTCGATGAATCCCACTGGAATGACAAAAAATAAAAGAGAAAGCCCAGGCCTTGATGGCTTCACTGGTAAATTCTACCAAATGGTAAAAACAAAACAAAACAAACAAACAGACAAAAAAAAAAAACAAAACAGAAATTCTTCCAAAACCCTTCCAAAAAATGGAAGACAAAAACATTTTTCTGTTCATTCTTTGAGGCCAGTATTATCCTGATACCAATACCAAAGATATCATGAGAAAAGAAAGAAAGAAAGAAAGAAAGAAAGAAAGAAAGAAAGAAAGAAAGAAAGAAAAAAAAAAACGCAGACCAATATCCTTTAGAAATGTAATCAAAATAAATGCCCCACAAGATAATAGATACTAGCAAACTGAATAACCTTATAGAGAGATCGATCAATAAATAGAGAGATAGAGACAGAGATTTATGTACATATGTAATGCCACATTGGTTTAACATCTGAAAATCAATTAATATAAATAGAATACACCATGTAAATAGAATAACATGCAAAATCCATATGATCGTTTCAATAGATGCAGAAAACATTTGACACAATTCAACACACTTTCATGAGAAAGTGCTCAACAAATTAAAATTGAAAATAAAAATGAGATGCTCAATCTGATAAAGGACATGTATGAAAACCTAATGCTAACATCTTGTTTAATTGTGAAAGACTGTGTGCTTCCCCACTAAAATCAGAAACAATGCCATGAAGCCCAGTCTCTCTATCTCTATGCAACATTACACTGGAGGTGGTAGGGCAATTAAACAATGAAATAATAGAACATACATCTGCATTCAAAGCAAGAAGTGAAAGTATTTCTATTTTTAGGTCTATATAGGAAGCTTCAAGGATTTTACTAAGATCCTATAAGAACTAATAAATTTGGCCTCTTTGCAGAATACAAAATCGGTGTACAAATACCAACTGCATTTCTATACAATAGCAATTAACAAACTGAAAATGAAATTAAATCATTTCCATTGACAATAATATCAAAACAGAATAATTATTAAAGGAATACATTAACAAAAGAAATCCAAAAATATACTTGGAAAAGTACAAAGAATTGTTAAAAATAATTTTAAATATCCAAATAAAAAGAAAAAAAAATCTTAGGTTTCTGGATTAGAAAAATAAATATTGTTAAGACAGCAATTGACCTAAAAATTTAACACAATCTTTATCATAATTCCAGCTGGCCTCTTTTTAGAAATTAATAAGCTGATCTTAAAGTTCATATGGGAATTCAAAGGACCCAAAATAGCCAAAATAACCTTGAAAAGAAAGCACAAAGTTGAAGGACTCACATTTTCCTACTTTCAAACTTACTACAAAATTACACTAATTGTGACAGTGTGGTATTGGCATAAGAGTAGATATAGAGATCATTGTAATAATATTGATAGTCCAGAAATAAACCCTCACATTTATAGTCTTATTAACTTTTATCAAGAGTACCAAGCAAACTCCATGGCAGGTAGTCTTAGCAGATGGTATTGGGACAATTGGATATCCACATGCAAAAGGGATGGATTTATATGTCACATCATATTAAAAAATAACTTAAAAGTAGATAAAATATCTAAAAGGTAGGAATCAAAGTAGAAAACTCTTAGAAGACAACAAAAGCATAACTTTTATGGATTAAACAATTTATTTAGATATGACATCAAAAGAACAAGCAGCAAAAGATAAAAATAAATTGGACATCATCAAATTAAAAACTTTTGTGATTTAAAGAACATCATCAGGAGATTAGAAACTCACCCACAGAATGGGTGGAAAATTTTTGTAAATTATAACTTAGAAAAGACTTTTATCTACAATATATGAGGAGCTCTTTCAACTCAATAACAAAAAGGCAAATAATCCAGTTACAAAATGGGGAATTGATCTGAATAAACATTCTCCAAAGAAGAAATACAAATGGCCAATAAGTACAATAAGATGCTTAACATCATCAGGCATCAGGGAAATGCAAATTAAAATCTTAATGAGGTACCACTTCACACCCACTAAAATGGTGATAATGAAAAAGGGAGATAATTTCAATTGTTGGTAAGGATATGAACAAATTAAAACCCACTACACTACTGATACAAATGTGAAATGTTATAGACACTTTGGAAAGCAGATTGGCAACACTTGAAAAGGCTAAAAAATATAGAGATATTAACTGACCCACAATTCGATTCCTAGGTATGTACTCAGAAAAAATAAAAATTTATGTACACACAACTTTTCATGAATGTTCACAGCAGCATTAATCATAATGGGAGACTGAGGCTGGAGAACCTCTTGAACCCAGGAGGCAATGATTGAAGTAAGGTGAGATCACGCCACTTCACTCCAGCCTGGGTGGCAAGAGTGAAACTCATTTAAAAAAAAAAAAAGAGAGAGAGAGATTGCTTTTAAAGGCAAGACATTGTTTGAATTTTCCTTTTAAAATTAAGTGCCATTCTACTATTCTACATTTACTTTAATTTATTTACATTTACTTATTACATTTAATTATTATATCTACTTTAAAATATTGTGAATTCCTTAAGAGCAGAAGCTGTATTTTGTCAATTTATTAATCTTCAGCACATTGAACAATAAGTTGCACTTACTAGGTGATCTTCAAGTGTAGAATTAAACTGAAATAGATGTTCTCAAACATTATAAGTAATAATACCTATAGATAATGTATATTTGTTTACTCAAAAAGAAAAGTGTGTTTTTTATTAATCTTTTGTCTTTCAGCTCTTAGTCCACCTCAATAATCTTGTATGTGAGCTGGGATGAAAGACTGCAAACCCCTCCTTGGTCTACTAGATCACAGTTAAGCTATGGCAAAGAGGATTACTTGGTCTGGAGAATGTAAAAAGGACTTGCTTCTACCTGCCAGCTTTATCACAGCACTATTTCTCCGTCCTAACAGGGATCCTTGATTCTAATAGTAGCATAGGGTTCCATTTTGCAGTTTTTTTCAACCTGATTTCCCTCACGATGGCCCATCAAAGTTCCCTCTGCCAGCCACCTAGTGCCCTACCGCCTTGAGTCTGAGGTTTCCAGATACTTTCCTCTAAGCCACAAAGTTTTAGTAATCCTAACTTCTGTTCATCCTTCCAATCCTAGGTGTAGAAACTGCTTCTTCAGTTATTGCAAAAATGCAATGTCCATTTTTGTTTATTTTGCTTTTTTCCCTTATAGTTTCTAATGCCCTGGTAAACAAGATATTTTATAAAATTTTCTCTATTAAAATAATCTTGACTGCTTTTGTGGATAACTTTGTCACTTGCAAAATTATCCCAAACTGGTTGCCAATATATGTAGTTAACCCAAATTATGCATTATCAACCAGAAACCACTGGGCTAACTTGGAGACTCCTTAGAGTTTATTTAAGTTAGGACCCTATTTTGCTTTGATCTTACAGATTTTGGTGGGAGGTGGGCTGGTCGTAGGGGGTGAAACAATGCTCACCAAGTAAGTGGAAAGATAAAAGTGCCACAGATGCTGGGCACAATGGCTCACACCTGTAATCTCAGCTCTTTGGGAAGCCGAGGAGGGCAGATTACTTGAGGTCAAGAGTTCAAGATTAGCCTGGCAAACATGGTGAAACCCTGTCTCTACAAAAAATACAAAAATTAGCAGGGTGTGGTAGCACACACCTGTAATCCCAGCTATTAGGGAGGCTGAGGCAGGAGAATTGCTTGAACCCAGGGGGTGGAGGTTGCAGTGAGCGGAGATTGTGCCACTGCACAACAGTCAGGGTGAAAGAGCAAGACACTATCTCCAAAATAAATAAATAAATAAAATAAAAAACAAAAAATACCCCAGATGAATTC